>NC_000001.11:51826562-51978077 GCF_000001405.40 Homo sapiens
AATTATATATGTTTATGTGAGTATAAACCATCATTAAAATAAAAAGTCAATTATTAAAAATAATTTATCAGCCGGGCGCAGTGGCTCACACCTGTAATCCCAGCACTCTGGGAGGCCGAAGCAGGCAGATCATGAACAAAAGCACAACAGAATTTTTACTTTAGTTCAGCATAAACCAAAACTCCATACTGTGTGTGTATATACATATATATTTCTTTCAGCATAATTTTTCAAAGCATAATAAAATATATTCTGGCTTAAAATTGTAAAATCTAATTAAAGGTCTGCTTGTTTAAACACTGGTGTCAACCCACTCTAGAAACTGTATAAAGAAAAACATACTAGAAAGCATTTAAGACACAGATAACAGTTCTTGAGTCTCAAAATATGAAAAGTGCTTTTAGTTATCCTTAGTTGTTTTGTTTTTTCATCCATTCAACAGGTATTTAACTGGGTTTAAGGTAAAACAGACACTGTGGTAGGCAAGTAAAAAAATAAAGAAAATAAATCCTTGATTTCCAAGGAGCTACTACAGCTAGGAGGAGCTTAACCATTCCATCCTTTTTTACAAATAAACTGAATGCCACAGCTAGACACTTCTGTAAGTTAAACAGGGGTCTGTTGACTTCCAGATAGATCACTCTAGCCATCTGTAGTTTACTCAGCCTAGTAAATGCTTTACATCATTATTAGAACTAGACACTGCATCAAACCAAGGAGGGAAATACTACAAAAAGTGGAACAAATACAGAGACTTGCAGTGGCTATAAGCCAAGCCTAACCTATATGAACTGGAAGTCCCCTCAAGTCTAGTATTAAATGCTTCTAATACTTAAATAAATCAAGCAGGGATAATATACAATGGTGATATTTATTGGTACTATGTAATTAAGGAATATTTATAGCACAGATCTATAATGAAGCCTCACCCTATATAAGCACATTCTTTTCCTTTATAGTCTTCAATCTTTGAATCTCAAAAGATTAGCCCCTATGGTAAAACCTTCGAAAAACAAAGGATGAAAAAACTAAAATCCACCATCCTTTTCATTTACTTCAAATCTACACTGAATTAGATGTTTAATGACTTCAGGAACAAACATAACACATATTTCAATTTAGTCCTTTAAAATATAAAGATAAAATGGTCTAGAGATAAAGAAGGATAAATGTAATAAGTAACTGGTTTCATGAAGGAAAAAACTGTAGTTACACATAAAGTACTCCTCTTACCACTATCAACAGCTTCAACTTCACGGTCAATTGCATCTCTGATCATTAGTGGGTGGATGAAGAACTGCGCCCATCTGAACAAAAAACAAAACTGGCATTTCCGTTTTTGTTCACTTTCATCAATCAACATCTATTATTTTAATTAAGAAACTTACTAAGTTGGAGATTTAATTCACAATCCTAAGTATATAAAATCTAAATAATCTGCATTTCTATATTTTAAACTAATATCTACATGTTACTTTAACTTTTTCATTGTGAAATATATTTAATAACAATCATACAGAAAAGTTAACAAAACATGAACATATAAACTACACCTGAGTGGCCCACCCAGGTGAAGAAACAGACCATAGTCAACACTCTAGAAGCACCCAGCTCCTACCCTTACCTCAAGAAATATCCTGAATGTATAGCAGTAATTTCTCTCCTTTTCTTTATAGTTTTATTACCTATATACCTATTTCTAACCCAATGTTTATCAACCCTTTTTATTTCCATTTTCAACCCTTAGGAGCCTTTTCGGAAATGTTCTCCTATTCATTCCTTTGTAAAATTGTAATATCACAGATAGTCTATTTATGTAATGTTATGTATATCCATGTTTTTATAGAGTATATAAAGCTTACTTTTTTAGTTCAATGCAAGTTTACAGATGACTAAAAACGTTTCAGTTAAAAGTTAAATTAGAATTTTAAAGACTTGGTATTTAAGTTAATCTTATAATTTCATCTGCTTTTTAAATTAATTTTTAATTATATAAACTGTGATGTATCAAATTACATATACAAATTACCACTTATATAAATACATAATAGCAATGCAATTAAATTGTTAAAAATTATTCAAAGATTGGTGTATTGGTGTTTTTCCAGCAAAATAGAATGATTTAAAAAATTAATTTCCTAAAATGTTTAGTAAACTTTTTTTTTTTTTTTTTGGATATAGTGTCTCACTCTATCACTCAGGCTAGAATGCAGTGGCACAATCACTGCTCACTGCGGCCTCAAACTGCCGGGTTCAAGCAATCCTCCTGCCTCAACCTCCGAAGTAGCTGAGACTAGAGGTGTGCACTACCATTTTTTTTTAAATCTTTAAATTTTTTATAGAGACAGGGTCTCCCTATATTGCTCAGGCTTCTTTAAAAAACTTTTAACTTTTGCTTGCAATAAGGTAACTTTTAACTTAACTACCTGCTAGATATATTGGGGCATTTTTTTTCTTTTCAGTACTTGGTATGATTAATGATGGGTTGGATAATTTCTGTTGACTTAAATAATGAAACTAATTTTATTTAATTCTGTCACCCAGACTGGAGTGTGTAGTGGCACATCACGGCTCACTGGAGCCTTGAACTCCCCAGGCTCAGGTGATCCTCCCACCTCAGCATCCCAAGTAGCTGAGGCTACAGGCATGTACCATCATGCCCTGCTAATTTTTTTCCCTCACCATGTTACCCAGACTGGTCTCCAGCTGCTGGGCTCAAGTGATCCACCTGCCTTGGCCTTCCAAAGTGCTGGGATTATAGGCATGAGTCACCATGCCCAGCCTACTAACATTCTTAAAAGATATTTTTATTTAGTGTACAATTTATGATTCTAGTTATTAGTTGGTAGTTATTTTCCTTCAGAGCACGAAGTTGAGTAGTCATCTGTAAGTGTAACTCATCTTCCTTTGAAGAAAATTTTCTCTTTATCTGGCAAAAATTTTCCATATTTCTTCTAATGTATCCTTTTGGAAGTTATTAGACTTTAACCTCTGATTTGATGTCTTACAACAGGTTCTGAAAATTTTCCAGTGATCAACCCTTCAACTGTTGTCTCTACTTCAATTTTCTCTCTCCTCCTTCTACAACTACAAGTAAAATACATGGGATGTTTTCATTCTATCCTCTATGCTTCATATTCTTTGTATTTTTAATTTTGTGCTATATGCTATATTTGGGTTATATATGTTCTTTATGCTATACTTGGGTTAATTCCTTCTGTCTTATCTTCTGGCTTACTAATTCTATCTTCAACTCTATTTACTCTTAAACTTGTCCATGACATTTTCAATTTTTTTTATCATAGTTCAGTTCAAGATGTATCTTTTCATTTTACAAATTTCCTAGGTCATATTTGACAGTTTCTTATTCCTTGCAAGTATATTCAAATTTGTCTTTTATTTCTTTTTTTTTTTTTTTTTGTGACAGAGTCTCGCTCTGTCACCCAGGCTAGAGTGCAGTGGCACTATCTCGGCTCACTGCAAGCTCTGCCTCCCACGTTCAAGCGATTCTCCTGCCTCAGCCTCCCAAGTAGCTGGGGCTACAGGCACCCGCCACCGGACCCGGCTAATTTTTGTATTTTTAGTAGATATGGGGTTTCACCATATTAGCCAGGCTGGTTTCAAACTCCTGACCTCGTGATCCACCCGCCTCGGCCTCCCAAAGTGCTGAGATTACAGGCATGAGCCACTGCGTCTGGCCTTTATTTCTTAAAAAATAGAAAGTATAATTATTTTAGAAATTGTGTGTAACTATGCCAGTACTTGAGATGTCTCAGAATCTGTTTGTGTTATCTGTTCTCAATCATGTTGTATTATTTTCCTGAGTACCTGCTTATTTTTGACTGAATGTTGGTTATTTTACTTGAAAAAATATTTGTAACAATTTAGGGCCTAGAAGGAAGGCATCTTCCTTTTGAGATGCCTTATGTTTGCTTCTCCCAGGCTCCTGGGAACACTACCAGTTCTGCCCATGAAGCTACAATCAAGACTTGGGGTTCCCCAGAATACTCAGGCACTTGGAATCTAGGCTATAACTACTCAGGACGCCTCATCCTTTTTCACAACCTGAAAGTGAAGATTTTGTATTCCCGCTTATAATGGGGAGGGTCTCCTGTTAGAAGTGGACATCCTAAGCTTTGATATTTGTCACTCTTACCATGAAATACTGATAAAATAAAGTTCAAATTTACTGAAAATAGAAGACGCCACCATGGTAAAGACGGCTTCCATGCTCACTTACTTAACTGGAGTAAAAATTTAGTCATTTCCTCAGCTGTTTATTTAAAAGATACTTATAAACAATGTGGCCTGTGTGAGGGAATCAGATTTTGCTAACCTATTAAAAACAGGTACTTAATCCATGTTATATAAGAGCATATTACACACGTATAAAGGCTTTTCCTTATACATTGTAGAAGTATAATATTATAGCATTTATTATAGTATTTGCACCCTATAATGCTCTACTTATGGCATAAATTTATGATTTGATATTCTCATTAATTTATCCTATTAATGCAGTGGCTTTCTTATTGGGTGGCTTTCTTTTTAAATAAAAATAAATGTGTAAGGTGATATTCTTAGATGCTGAAGCAGTCCTTGTACAAAACATATTTAGAACAACTCTTTAAAAGGAAACAAAACAAATTTCTTAACTACATTTTATACCAAATTTCATCATCTCTGAGATGGCCAGAATGTATTCATATCATACATACCATTTGCCTATCCTTTTTCCCAATAAAATCAGTTATTTTTCCTTCTTTGTATATGGACAAAGCTAAATATAAAGTTGTAAAAATTCAACTTGTCTTCTGCTTAAGATTTCTTCACACATACAAAGACCTGTTTGGATTCTGTAAAACTTAAGAGCTGAGAACTCTGTAACAAGAGTAAAGATGCAGTTTTCTTCAAAGTTGTATGGTTAAAGTCTCCTCTGAAGGTATTGCTGATCCTGTCTAAATTTATAGGAAAGATCATCTCAGGCATCATTTGCATTGCCTTCATTGATTTATCTTTCTTTTTTTTTTTTTTGAGACAGGGTCTCGGTCCATCACCCAGGCTGGAGTACAGTGGTGCGATCTCAGCTCACTGCAACCTCCGTCTCCCAGGTTCAAGCAATTCTCGTGCCTCAGCCTCCCAAGCAGCTGGGATTACAGGCCTGCGCCACCACACCCAGCTAATTTTTGTATTTTTAGTAGAGATGGGGTTTCACCATGTTGGCCAGGCTGGTCTCGAATTCCTGGGCTCAAGTGATCCACACACCTTGGCCTCCCAAAGTGCTGGAATTATAGGCATGAGGCTGCAGTCAGCCGAGATCACATCACTGCACTCCAGCCTGGGCAACAGAGTGAGACTGTCTCCAAAAAAAAAATAAATAAATAGTGGCATATGCTTCCAATTTATAGGAATATGTCCAAAGGATTTTTCCAGATCAAATTAATCTCTTAAGAAAAGAGATAATTTCTTTTTATTTTATCTTTTTTATTTTATTTTGTTTTTGAGACAGAGTCCCACTCTGTCACTCAGGCTGGAGTGCTATGGCATGATCTCAGCTCACTGCAACCTCCGCCTCCTAGGTTCAAGCAATTCTCCTGTCTCAGCCTCCCAAGTAGCTGAAATTACACGCACATGCTACCAAGCCCAGCTAATTTTTGTGTTTTTAGTAGAGACAGGGTTTCACCGTGTTGGCCAGGCTGGTCTCGAACTCCTGGCCTCAAGTTATCCGCCCACCTCGGCCCCCCAAAGTGTTGGGATTACAGGTGTGAGCCACCACACCAGGCCAATTTTTAAAAAAAATATTAGATCTCTATCATGTTTAAAAAAAATTTTTTTTGGTCATTTATCTTTTGATTTTATGGTAATTTTTGCTATAAAGGAACTGCATTAATTCATTTAACAAATCTGAGTATCTACCAAATTATTGATTTGCAGATGTATCAACAAAAAATAGATAAAAATTCCTGCTCTGAAGGAGCTTACATTATACTAGACAAACGTGAGGTTTCTTTTTTCTTTTACATTTCAATCTTGCATATATCTAGAATTAGGTATAACTTTTTTCTACTTTTCTACTTTTTTCCGGGGTAGACTTTGGTCTGCAACCCTGTAATCTCAAACTTCTACTATTGTACTGACAAACTTTCTGGAAAACAATTTTGCAATGAATTTCAAAAGCTTAAAGAAAAAAAAAGTCTTAAAAATATATTTGCAAATATACTCAGCAATTTCACTGCTTAGAACTTAATAGAAATAATTAAGGATATTCACAGAGATCAGGATAATCATCACAGTATTAGAAAACTGGAAACAACTCAACTGTCCAATCATATGTAACTGATTAAACACCTTATGGTACTTCTATACAATGTAAATAACATACAATCACTAAAAATCATGTTTTATAAATTATGTAAGTTAAAATGATATATCTTGCTTAAAATTAACAATTATAAAAGGGTATGAACAATATGATCGGTATACTTTAAAAAATATAGATGGGTCTATACCAAAACATTAATGGTGGTTATCTCTAGATTATAAAGTTGGAGGCAATCTTATCCCTTTTTTGCTTCTCTGTTTCTCCATATTTTCTACTAAATTCTGTTTTTTAAGTGGCTGGGCAAAGTGGCTCACACCTATAATCCCAGCACTTTGAGAGGCTGAGGCAGGAGGATCACTTGAGGCCAGGAGTTTGAAACCAGCCTGGGCAATACAGAGAGACTCCCAATTCTACAAAAAAATTTAAAAATTAGCTGGGAGCGGTGGCACATTCAGCCTGGGAGGCTGAGGTTGCACTGAGCCATGCATTCATGCAATTGATGGCCAATTGCACCACAGCACTCCAGCCTAGGCACCATGGCAAGACCATATCTCTTAAAAAAAAAAAAAAAAAGTCATAATGAGTCAACAGAGAATACATAATTAATAAAATTAATAAAACCCAAAAGGTGTTGACTTTTATTTTAATCTTTAATACAAAGACTATATATAATAGAACAAGAGTCAAAGTGTATTTAACAGTTTAACAGCTTTTTTCTCCAAATAAAGTTTTGTTTGAGACAGGGTCTCAAACAAACTCTGTCACCCAGGCTGGAGTGCAGTGGTGTGACTGTAGCTCACTACAGCCTCGAATTCCTGGACCCAAGCAATCCTTCCACCTCAGCCTCCTGAGTGCCAAGGACTACAGGCACTCACCATCATGCTTGGCTAATTTTTTATTTACTTATTTTTGTAGAGACAGGTTCTTACTATTTTGCCCAAGCTGGTCTCAAACTCCTGGCTTTAAGCGAGCCTTCTACCTCAGCCTCCCAAAGTACTTGAGTTACAGGCATGAGTCACCATGACTGGTCCAAGTAAAGTATTGTGACAATTCTACTGTACAAGAACACTCTATTTACATTTGCAAAGTGCCATTAGATCATTAAAATTAAAGTATATTTAGAGTTAGTTACCTATCAAGAGCTTCCTTGAAGTACTTCCTCTGGACATCAAACTGAAAGACAGTGCGTTCACAATCAGTTGAGGCATTATCACTACCCCCATGCTTCTTCAGGAAGGCATCAAATCCATTCTCATCTGGATATTTCAAACTACCCATGAATACCACTAAATGGAAAGAACACAAAGTCACACAACACAAAGATATAGAAAATATTTTTATCACACATGAACTTTCTTATATGCATAGAAAAACTGAAAGAAAATAGACCAACACATCAAATGGTTATGTCTGAATTCTTTTTTTTTTCTTTGAGACAGAGTCTCACTCTGTTGCCCAGGATGGAGCACAGTGGTGCAATCTTGGCTCACTGCAAACTCTGCCTCCTGGGTTCAAGTGATTCTTGAACCTCCTGGGTTCAAGTGTCTCAGCCTCCCAAGTAGCTGGATTACAGGCACTTGCCACCATGCCTGGCTAATTTTTTGTATTTTTAGTAGAGATGGGGTTTCACCAGGTTGCCCAGGCTGGTCTCCAACTCCTGACCTCAAGTGATCTGCCCACCTCGGCCTCCCAAAGTGCTGGGATTACAGGCGTGAGCCACCACACCTGACCCTAAATAATACTTTCTTCATTACATTTGATTTTGTAACTTTCTATTATGCTCATGTTACTTTTATACTAAAAAAAAAAAATTTCATCTTTAAAGAAAGATAAGACGAACATATAACTTATAAAGAGATCACAAATATATTTAAGTCTAAATAGATTAAAATTCACCTTTTATTAATTAGATTAAAATTCAAACAAATTCACAAACATATATGCAGATTAACTGCTACTGCTGTTACAACTTAATCTCTTCAATTAAATTTAAGGAGATTAAAATTTAAGCACAAACATATGCAGATTAATGGCTACTATAAAAATTCACAAAGTAAGAAGTATACCCTCAAATACTTTAGAAAACCAGACCATTAAAAAAAGAGTAATTTAAAATAAATATTTGTAAAATAAAAATAAATATTTGTAACTATATAACATCCACATAGAGTTTTTTTGTTTGTTTGTTTGTTTTTGAGCTGGAGTCTCGCTCCGTCACCCAGGTTGGAGTGCAATGGCGTGATCTCGGCTCACTGCAACCTCCGCCTCTTGGATTCAAGTGATTCTCCTGCCTCAGCCTCCAGAGCAGCTGGAACTCTAGGTGTGCGCCACCATGCCCGGCTAATTTTTGTGTTTTTGTAGAGATGGAGTTTCACCATGTTGGCCAGGCTGGTCTCGAACTCCTGACCTCAGGTGATCCACCTGCCTTGGCTTCCCAAAGTGCTGGGATTACAGGAGTGAGCCACCGCGCCCGGCCCCGTGTAAGTTTTATTTAGGTACATTCCAAATTAAATGAAAAGCTTCTATTGTTTTGTTTTTATATTAATCATGCCTTTTGAATTTCTAGGTTTTTTTTGTTTCTTGTTTTTTTTTTTTTTTTTTTGAGACAGTCTTGCTCTATCACCCAAGCTGGAGTACAGTGGCACAGCCTCAGCTCACTGCAACCTCTACCTCCCAGGTTCAAATGATTCTCTTGCCTCAGATTCCCAAGTAGCTGGGACTACAGGTGTATGCCACCACGCCCAACTAATTTTTGTATTTTTAGTAGAGATGGGGTTTCACCATGTTGGCCAGGCTGGTCTCGAACTCCTGACTTCAAGTGATCCACCCACCTCAGCCTCCCAGAGTGCTGGGATTACAGGCGTGAGCCACCTCACCCAGGGAATTCCTGTATTTCTGATGTTTGGCTGGGGGCCTTGCTAACCCTGGAAGGGACTGCCCTCCCCAGGACTGGTCATTTCCTAGAAAATGGCAATCATCTCCTGATCCGTTGGCCTTAACATAGCTCAACAATAGTGACATCTACAGTTTAAAAGTTTTCTGTGTGGTTTCATTCTAACTCTCAATATAAGTACACTCAGATTGTTTCCCCCACGATATTCATAAATCAAGGATTTTTTCTTAGCCTTTTCTCTTGCTAAATATATCATACTTCTGTCAAATCACTTGCTAATCTTTGATATCAATTCATATAAGTTTGGAGGGGGGAAAAAAACACACCAGGAATGATATTTTACAAATTCTTACTGTGCTCCAAAAAGTGTGCCAGCCCCGGCAGGTCATCTGGATCAGCGAAACTCCCAACTCCAACACAAAGAGCCGCTGCAGACTGGAGTAATTAGAACACATACAAATAGTTGAGTCAACCCTAAAGGAATAATATTCGCATCTTATCTTAAGGATTCATTTGGAGATGGATGTTTTCCAATAGGAGTAACAAAATTCTTTCCCTGAGAATCAGGAGGAGCAGCAAAGTGAAACTCACCAGAACTGTGTCAGTTTCACCCTGCTGCTCCTCCGCTTGCCATCCTGCCAAATGCTGAACAGGTGCAGACCTAAGGAAAAAAAGCAGAAACAGACAGAAAAAAAGGGAAGAGGGACTGGACAGCCCACCCAAATATCATTTCATGTCAGCATTTCATAATTCTGAACCAAGTTTTTTCCCTGAATTACTAGATTTTGGAAATCTGCGGAAGTAACATATCTAGATAGATATCTCTGAAGATCTCTAAGCAATTAAAAGCTTTGTGTTGAGTGACTCAGTTACTAGATGTGAAACCTGTCAACATGTAACTTAGAAAATTTTGTTAAGATAGAATAAGATAACATTTTAGGAAAACATCTAACAAAAATAGTAAGTGATAAAAAAAGATAAAATCGGTAGCTATTAAAAAGTATAACTAAATTTTAAAGAGGCTTTTTAGTTCTTCACTTCTAATTGAAGATATACAGCATATATTACTTATCAGTATATATTCTCCCAATACTTTGGGAAAATCAGAGTTTTTAACAAAATTGATGGCCAAGAGGTACACCAAACTGCACTTAAAATGATTGGGACTTTTTTTTTTTTTTTTTTTTAAGACAGGGGTCTTGCTATGAGGCCCAGGCTGGTCTCAAACTCCTGGACTCAAACAATCCTCCCACCTCAGCCTCTCAAAGTGCTGGGATTATAGGCGTGAGCCACTGCACCCGAACTATTGGGGCATAATTACAGTAAGTTAAAAGACAAAAAAAGGAGAAAAAACGGTCAATTTGAATCCTTGAAGATAGAAAGGCGAATTATTAACTTTCCCAAATTTGTTTTCTTCAAACTTTTGTAAATGTCAATTTTACAGGGCTAACATATTTGGTGAAACAGATTGTTTTAATAAACAGTTACCTCTTAAAAAAGAGCTTTTCAAAAATAGCATGTACCTGGCATAAAGTCTAGCCATGTGTCAGAAAATGAGTGTGTTTTCAGAAGAACCAAACAGCCTCACTTGATACTATAAACCCCATTTTGAAGACTTAGGCACATAAACTCAGTTAAAACATTGGGGAATATCCAGTTCTTCAAACCACAATCTAACCTGTTCTGTGATGTTTTAATAGGTGCCTAACCTGCTTTCAGCTCCAACTACCCCATAAAGATTTCTTGTCTCGACCAGCAGGGTTGAAGACATTTTTGAATAAGTTGACTTAAACCACAGTCTATCAGTCAGCTTTGACCACAGCAAAAACAGGCTCTGCAATTGCTAGAAAAGAAATTCATACTTGAGAATTTTCTACCTAAAAAATTCAGACCTGAGAAATTCATACTTGAGAACTGAATTAAGAAAGCCCTGAACAAATCTTAATTCAATGTATATCATATTCAAATTTCAACCTTGTTAATTTATCAAACTTTTAAAATCAAGAACAACTTCTTTTGGGAGGAGGAAAACGGAGAGGGATAAAAAAGATGCCTCAGAAAAGTAGTTAACTTCTTAATTAGGTAAATGTTATTCAAAAAACGATCAAATATCTTTCTTCTCAATTCCTTTATTAATTCTCACATTTACCTTAAACAAGTTTCACACATTTTTCAAATAAAACTTAGATCATAAAACCACTCTTAAGCCACCTCTTACCAAGGCTAATCTACTTTATTTCCTTTTTTCAGAGAGTTATTCAACAAATATAAACATTTACCACTTACGATCGTGGGATCTTTCCTTTCACTAGTGAACCCATTGCTTCTGAATCAAAACAATTTCTCGTCTTCAAACTACTTAGGTTCCACTGTCCCGGTAGGATAATCCATAAAATTAGCTGTCAATATCTTATAAGGATTATATCACACTGAGTTCTCAGAAAAGAAAGGTAGCATCTAAGCCATTTTAAAAACGATCACTAGACTCTGACCCTG
Source organism: Homo sapiens (assembly GCF_000001405.40). Taxonomy (NCBI): domain Eukaryota; kingdom Metazoa; phylum Chordata; class Mammalia; order Primates; family Hominidae; genus Homo; species Homo sapiens. Next base: position 51,838,274 of record NC_000001.11, read on the forward strand.
CTGCTAGAAAAGATCAACTTAGAATTTGATCTACCTAAGCAAAATAAAAAGGGGTACCAAAAAGGCTGAACAGACATGTTCATTTGTCAAAGGTGTTCACAATTGCTGTATAAATCTAAAGTATTTTATAATGTCTTGACATTTAAAATGCCTGTCGAGACAATTTTTAACTGTTTTTAAATGCTTTGTCAGTTAATAGGAAATATAAACAAGTCAGATCATGGGAAAAGCTACTTACAGATAGATGGAAAGATATAGAAAAAAAGTATAGATAAGAAGTATTCAGTTAAGAAGTTATAACATGGTCTGGCTTAGAGCTAAAATAGGCCTCAGAATTTTATATTCTTGTTTTAAAACTGAGAAAAAAAAGAAAGAAAATGAAAACACCTAAAATCACGCAGAAAGAAAGGAACAGAGCCAGAAGTAGAACCCAGGTTTCCTGACTGTCAGTGTTCTTTTTTTTTGTGACTTTTATAATTTCTTCCTATTAATGCTCTATTTGGAATTATGAGATCTATTTTAAGTTAAAAGTGAATCTATTAATTTCCAATCTGTTCATAGAGACCTTAGCATACAGACTATCAAGTGACATATATATACCTTTTTTTCCCCCAGTGTTTTGATGTTCATCTCTACAGCCTTCCAAGTTAAAACTATTTAATACTTGGTCTATCATGCTACCCAAAAACAGGATCACTAATAATCTGAGTAGTAAACAGGAAAAAGCTTCTTAAAAATATTACTCAATCCAACAACTTAGTAAAAAACTGGTACAATCTTTCTTTTTAAAAAATAATTTTTTCCAAGAAGAATAACTATTAAATCATATCTACTACTTATACCTCAACTCTTCCCACCTTTAAGGGTGACCACTTTTTTTCTTTTTCTTTTTTTTTTTTTTTTTGAGACAAAGTCTCACTCTGTTGGCCAGGGTGGAGTGCAGTGGTGTAATCAAAGCTCACTGCAACCTTAACCTCCCTGGGCTCAGGTGATCCTCCCATCTTCAGCCTGTCAAGTAGCTGGAACCACAGGCATGTGCCACCACACCCAGCTAATTTTTTTTAATGTTTTAGAGAGACAGGGTTTCACCACATTACCTAGGCTAGTCTCAGAACTCCTGGACTCAAGTGATCTGCCCATCTCGGCCTCTTTGTATGTAGACTGTACCATGTTGAATATATTATCAATATTCAAGAAACTAGCTTTAACTAACTTTTGCTGGTCAATTCCACTGTACTGGCTCCGAAAATTATCCTCTGGGTACTCCCTACTATGAAAATGGAGGTATTCTTCAAAAGATATTAAGAAATTCTCCCTATCAAGACTTATTTATCTATCCACTGATGGTTGTTACATATTAAATAAGCTTAACTGCCCAGTTTCTATTTCAACTCTTCCAAAGTACTTATTTGTCCAGACCTTTGCGTTCCCATATAAAGTGCTAAATCAAACTCAATTATCTAATTATCTATATAGAAGCCACCCATACAATAACTCTTAGAGCCCTAGGCCCATGTAAAGATTTCACACTAGCCCCATTCTTTTCTTCTTCTTTTTCCAGTCTCACCAAGGATAACATACTCTTATTTCTCTAATCCAGGCTAAGAATTCTGCAGCTCCTCATCTACCAGTATTTGTTTTTAAAACATATAATGTATACAAATACACATAAATTCAAATACCTCTGAGTGTTGATTACCTCTGAGAGATATAGCTATGGGTGATTTTTATATTTTTGTTTTCTTTATATTCCATTAGTTTATATAATGAGCATTTACTACTTTTATAATTGGAGGAAAATGTTTTCAAAATGTAATCCTGATACAGAATAGACCTTTACTGAAGACCAAAAGATAACTATATACTTCCTTTTTGCCATTAAAAAATAAAGCTTGAGTTTAGAAGTTACCCAAAGAATTCCCAAATTAGAAGAAAACAGACATGACTCGCACCTGTTTTTCAGTAGTTTTTTTTCTAGCTTCTGCTCTCTCTTCTAATTCTTCCAATTCATTATCCTCAGTATCAAGATCATCATCATGTTCATCATCAAACTCATCTTCATCATCAAAACCCTCTTCATCGTCATCTTCTATTTCAGCTCCAGAATCTTCATCATCATCTTCTTCTTCTTCCTCCACCTCCTCTTCTTCTTCATCATCTGTTGTATTTCCTGTTTTACCTTCCATATTACTTAGGTCTGAAATCAGAAGTGCCTGCAAGCCATTCTGTAATTTGATGTATCTGGGGGGAGAAAAAAAAAATCACACATTTTGATTCAGCTGTTCTTTACACCAATACAAGTAATCAGCTTAGCAGAATTTTAAAAAAAGAATCCAAGTAAAAGTACAAACACACACACACACAACTATTTGTAAACTAATAAAATTGGTTGCTCTGGAGAGGGAACCCCAAAAGCTAATCAGTTTTTGAACAGCTGGAGGGAAATGAAGGTAAGAACACTTCATAATATACGCTGTTTGTATTTTTAAATTTTGAACTACATAAATATATTTACCTATTCAAAAAACACATTTTAGTAGCTAAAGATATGCAACTCACCACTCAGCCTCCCCTATTTCTCAGTTTGTAAGTATTTAAACATTCTATCATACCAGAAGACTTAGGCTAAGATAAATTGTATCCCTCAATATACAGAACAGTCATGTCAGCTTAATATTAAAGCAAAATCACACAAAATTAAACTGCTGATTTTCTTTTCTATAAAATGTTTGACATATCAGTCTCCAAAGCTGCCTTTATGAACTAAAAAGTGGTTATATCTCTATGAAAATGAAATCCCCCACAGACTGGTAGCCCCGCAGGAAGATTATTCTGCTTTTTTTGAGACAGAGTTTGCTTTACTGCCCAGGCTGATTTTAAACTCTTGGGCTCAAGCAGCTCACCTCAGCCTCCTGAGTGGCTGGGATTACAGGCATGTGCCACCATCTCAAGCTCCTGATTCTTATCTGCAAAACTACTGTGCCAGTTTGATGACTAGGTATCTATTACAGACCACTCCCATTTACACTAATTTTTTTTTTCCTTTTTCTTTGAGACAAGGTCTCACTCTGTTGTGTAGGCTAGAGTGCAGTGGCACGATCTCAGCTCACTGCAGCCTCGACCACCTGGGCTCAGGCAATCCTCCCACCTCAGTCTCCAGAGTAGCTGGGATCACAGGCACAGGCCACCATACCTGGCTAATTTTTGTATTTTTTTAGAGACAGGGTTTTGCCATGTTACCCAAGCTGGTCTTGAACTCCTGGGCTCAAGCAATCCACCCATCTTGGCCCCACAAAGTGCTGGGACTACAGGCATAAGCCATCGCATTCAGCCCCATTTATACTAATTTTTTCATGTATTTATTCAATAAACATTTATTTAGCACCCTTTACATATCAGATATCATGCTGCATTAAGGATAAAAAGGATAAAACAAAATTCCTCATCATCAGGCATTCACTGTCTAATAATGAGATGAGCCAGTATAATACAGAATGACAGAGATAAATACAGAATGTAAGAAACAAGCAGTCAGGGAAGGCGTCTAAGACAAGGTACACTTAAAAAGTCAAGCAAAAACTAAGAATAACATGCAAAGAAAGACAAGGAAGAGAACCTTTGGCCTAAGATGGAAGACTGAACACTGGGATTTATCTACTTTCCATATAAAATAATCACATTTGGAGCTCAGGAGTTCAAGACCAGCAGGCAACGTAGCGAAACCTCATTTCTACAAAAAATACAAAAAATTAGCCTGGCATGGTGGCATGCGCCTGTAGTCCCATCTACTTAGGAGGCTGAGGTTGGGAGGATGATTTGAGCCCAGGAGGTCCAGGCTGCAGCGAGCCCAGATCGGGCCACTTTACTCCAGTCTGGGTGAAAAATGAGACCCTGTCCCAAAAATTAATAAATAAATAATAAAAAATAATCACATTTAAGTGATAGAAAAAATGTTTGGTTTTTTTTTTTTTGGTTTTTGAAAATAAAATCATGACAGACAGAAAACAGGAAAGGACACTGTTAGCAGATTACAAATTTTTAGAAATCATTAGAAGACATGCAAATTTGATCAGATTAATGGAGAAAACCACAGACCTATAAACATGTAGTAAGATATTGGTTCTTCCCAGGAAACCCTAGAAAAAGTCTAAGCTTCAGATCAATAAATAAGAGCAAAGAGAGCCTCAGGGCAATAAGCTCAATTATGTAAACTGGAAGCAATCCAAGTCTACTGACAGCAGAATAAAAAAACTGTGGTATATTCATATAATGAAAATTTTCTTCACAGTGGAATATTGTAACACAGGGAAATACAGAATTCAGCAACAAACTACGACAGTGGTTAATCTTAAAAACATGAGTGAAAAAAGCAAATCACAAAAAAATACTATATGAGTACCATTCACATAATGCCAAAAAACAAGCAAAAGTAAACAGTATATTATTTAGGTATACATATATATCCAACTTTTTTTAAGCAAAAGAATGATAAACACAAAATGCAAAACAGGGCAGGGCACAGTGGCTTGCGCCTATAATCCCCGCACTTTGGGAAGCCGAGGCAGGTAGATTGCTGGAGTCCAGGAGTTCAAGATCAGCCTGGGTAACATGGCAAAACCCCATCTCTACAAAAAAAAATACAAAAATTAGCTAGGCATGGTGTATCTATGGTCCCAGCTACTCCAGAGGCTGAGGTGGGAGGATGGCTTAAGCCCGGGACATGGAAGTTGCCGTGAGCCACGTTCATGCCACTGCACTCCAGCCTGGGCAACAGAGCAAAAACCTGTCTCAAAAAAAAAAAAAAAAAAAAAAGCTAACTACTTGTTGGGGTGGGAGGGCAGGGCAACATGTAAGGATACAGAGGGATTAAAATGTTCAAGACCACCAGAAGTAGACAGCAATATGCCACCTCTAAATATGCCTCCTTGGCATAAGGATTGTTGAACTGAAGGCAATTAAAAAGCAGATGCAGGAAAGCTCTCTGCTATCCACTTGCCTAAAAGCAAGACATAAATTTACTCCAAAGACAAAAAAGGTTAAAAAAAAAAAAAAAAAACCCAACCCCTGTTTACCGTGGAAGAACACAAGTTAACCACCAAATACAACTTTACACCTGTATTGGTCTGGATACGACACCAAAGGAATCCACATTAACAAGTTTACTAATTATGCTTTGCCTGCCATTATTTGCCTTTCTACAAGTTGCTGCCCCTACAGACTCAAAGTCCTTTTTCTTTGTCTTGACACTTTGCTAAACATTTGTTGAAGATACTATATAAGCAGGAATTAAAAGCCAACTCATTCTGAGTATCTCCCATGTATTTATGAATTATACATGTTAACAAACTTATATTTGTTTTTCTTTTGTTACAGGGGACCATTCCAAATAATAACTTATGAGGGTTGAAAAAAATTATTTTCCTCCCTTACACAACCCAACAGCAGGACAAGTTAAAATCCAAGAGCTATTTTCCAAGAATATGAACAATCTGTCCAGAAATAAATTCTAAGATGAATCTCAGAGATGCAGAATCATAGAGAAGCAGTTTGAGGTAGTCCCAATATCTGTATCAGATACCAACTCAGGTTGGGGGAAAAAAAAAAAAAGCCAGGGAAGGGGAACTTTACTTGGTCTTTGTAAGGTGCATTTTTTTTCCAGCTTAAATTTTTCATAAACAGAACAGAAAAAATCTAAAAATCTACTATCAAAATAATCCTATGCATTCTACTTTCAAAATAAATCACAATTCTGATAACTTCTCATCAACTCTACAGCTATTTCCTTAGAGCATGTTGTCATCGTGTCTAATCTCCTCCTAACTCTCTGTTTCCATTCTAACCTCAATACCCTGGCTATACTCGCCTCCACCACCACCATCCCCCGACGCCCCAACACACCTCAAGTCAATTCTCAGCAGGCTAAGTAAAGCAAATGAGCCCTGCTATGGGCTGAAATGTGTTCCCCCCAAAATCCTATGTTGAATCCTTAAACCCTACTACCTCAGGATGTGATTGTATTTAGAGACAGGGCCTTTAAAGAGGTAATTAAGCTAAACATCAGGCCTCTAAAGTAGGTCTGAATCCAATCTGAATGGTATCCTTATAAAATGAAGAAATTTGGAAACACGATGGTACACCAGATATGTGTGCACACAGAGAAAAGACCATGTGAGGAGATACCAAGGAGAAGGCCAACCGCAAGCCAGAAAGGCCTCAGAAGAAACCGAATAGGGCCGAAGAGGACGGATCATGAGGTCAGGATATCAAGACCATCCTGGCCAACATGGTGAAACCCCGTCTCTACTAAAAATACAAAAAAATTAGCCAGGCATGGCGGCGCGTGCCTGTAGTCTGTCTCAGCTACTCGGGAGGCTGAGGCAGAATTGCTTGAACCCGGGAGGCGAAGGCTGCAGTGAGCCGAGATGGCGCCACTGCACTCCAGCCTGGGCGACAGAGCAAGACTCAGGAAGAAAGGAATTCCGGAAGGGAGGGACGGAGGGAGGGGGGAGGGGGGAAGGGGAGGAGGGGGGAGGGAGGGAGGAAAGAAGGAAGGAAGGAAGGAAGGAAGGAAGGAAGGAAGGAAGGAAGGAAGGAAGGAAGGAAGGAAGGAAGGAAACCAAATAGGCTGACAGCTTGATCTTGAACTTCTAGACCCCAGAGCTGTTATTTAAGCTACTCTGTCTTTGATATTTTGTTATGGCAGCCTTAGCAAATTAATACAAGGCCATTTCCCTTTTCAAAATTCATCATTGGCTTCCCATCATACTTAAAATCCAAAATCCTTACCATGGCCTATACAATGCTCAACATAATCTCGTTCTCATTTACCTCTCCAACCTTCTTTCCCACTACTCTTCCTTCATTCTGTTTGCTCTAAACAAATGACTTTATTGTTGTTTCCTAAACACTGCCAACAGACTCTCAGTCCAGGGCCTTCGTGCTTGCTGTTCTGTTGGCCTTAGGGGCCCTTGACCCAGATAAAGTATGTGCCCGACTGCTCTACCTCTTTCAAGTCTTTCATGAAATGTCTCCTTTTGGCCCGGCCGCAGTGGCTCACACCCGTAATCCCAGCACTTCGGAAGGCCAAGGCGGGCAGATCACTTGAGGTCGGGAGTTAAAGACCAGCCTGGCCAACAATGGCGAAAACCCGACTCTATTAAGAATACAAATATTAGCTTGTGTGGTGGCATACGCCTGTAGTCCCAGCTACTCAGGAAGCTGAAGCAGGAGAATCACTCGAACCCGGGAGGCGGAGGTTGCAGTGAGCCAGGATTGCACCACAGCACTCCAGCCTGGGCGACAGAGCGAGACTCCGTCACAAAAAAAAGAAAAGAAAAGAAAAGAAATGTCCCGTTTTCAGAAATGCCTTCTCTGACCACACTACCTAAAATAGCTCTTTCGCCCATTTCTATTCTCTTTTATCCTACTTTAACCTTCTTCGCACCATTTATCATTACTTGATTTTATTTTCTGCCTGCACCATTAGAATGTTATCTCTGAGGACAGAGCTTTTCTTTCCTTCACAGCTATATCCTGGGACAACACCAGGCATATATATACCAAACATTTAATAAACAGATATTGAATAAACAAAAGAATGTTAACGCCTGGAGGGGACCTGATACATAGTAGGTACTTAATATCTACTTAATGAAACAAAATGAGACAAAATCTAACACCTAATTTAAAAAAAAAAGAAAGCTATGTGTACAACATGTATCCATTAAATGCATATAAAGTTACAACAACAGAACTAAAAGTACACAAATCAAATGGAATGGTAATGTATATATCTGGGGAAAGGAGAAAAACTAGAGATACAAAGATATTTTACACTTTATAATTTTTTTTTTTTTGAGACCAAGCCTCACTCTGACGCCCAGGTTGGAGTGCAGTGGTGCCGTCTCGGCTCACTGCAACCTCCACTTCCCAGGTTCAAAGTGATTCTCCTGCCTTAAGCTCCCGGGTAGCTGGGACCACAGGCGTGCACCACCGCACCTGGTTAATTTTTTTATTTTTAATAGAGACGGGGTTTTCACCATGTTGGCCAGGCTGGTCTCAAATTCCTGACCTCAAGTGATCCACCCGCCTCGGTCTCCCAAAGTGCAGGAATTACAGACATGAGCCACCGTGCACAGCCGACACTTTATAATTCTTAAAACATTTTCACTCTTTTTGTGTCTGGAATTGTTGGGTTCTTGGTCTCACTGACTTCAAGAATGAAGCCGCGGAGCCCCGCGGTGAGTGTTACAGTTCTTAAAAGCGGCTTGTTTGGAGTTTGTTCTTTCCAATGTTCGGATGTGTTCAGAGTTTCTTCCTGCCTGTGGGTTCGTACTCTCGCTGGCTTCAGGAGTGAAGCTGCAGACCTTCAGGGTGAGTGTTATAGCTCATAAAGGTAGTGAGAACCCAAAAAGTGAACACCAACAAGATTTATCGCCAACAGCGATGGAACTCGACCCAAGTGGGTTATCACCCCAGGAGCCTGCAGCCTGCTTTTATTCTTATCTGGCCCCACCCACATCCTGCTGATTGGTCCATTTTACAGAGAGCCGATTGGTCTGTTCTACAGAGAGCTGATTGGTCCATTTTGACAGGATGCTGATTGGTGTGTTTACAATTCCTGAGCTAGACACAAAAGTTCTCCACCTCCCCACTAGATTAGCTAGATACAGAGTGCTGATTGGTGCATTTACAAACCCTGAGCTAGACACAGAGTGCTGATTGGTGCATTCACAAACCTTGAGATAGACACAGAGTGCCGATTGGTGCATTCACAATCCTTTAGCTAGACATAAAGGTTCTCCAAGTCCCCACCAGATCAGCTAGACACAGAGTGCAGATTGGTGCATTTACAAACCTTGAGCTAGACACAGAGTGCTGATTGGTGAATTCACAAACCCTGAGCTAGACACAGGGTGCTGATTGGTGTGTTCATTAACCTCGAGCTAGGCACAGAGTGCTGACTGGTGTATCCACAATCCCCCCAGCTAGACATAAAGGTTCTCCGAGTCCCCACTAGACTCAGGATCCCAGCTGGCTTCACCCAGTGGATCCAGCACCGGGCCAGCAGGTGGAACTGCCTGCCAATCCCCTGCCTTGCGCCCGCACTCCTCAGCCCTTGGGCGATGGATGGGACTGGGCGCCGTGGAGCAGGGGGCGGCGCTCGTTGGGGAGGCTCGGGGAGTGCAGGAGACCACGGCGGGGTGGGAGGCTCAGGCACGGCGGGCTGCAGGTCCCGAGCCCTGCCCTGCGGGGAGTCAGCTAAGGCCCGGCGAGAAATCGAGCGCAGCGCCAGTGGGCTGGCACTGCTGGGTGACCTGACGCACCCTCCGCAGCTGCTGGCCTGGGTGCTAAGCCCCTCACTGCCAGGGGCCAGCGGCCACTCTGAGTGCGGGCCCGCCAAGCCCACGCCCACCTGGAACTCTAGCTGGCTCACAAGCCCCTCGTGCAACCCCGGTTCCCGCCCGTGCCTCTCCCTCCACACCTCCCCGCAGGCTGAGGGAGCCGGCTCCAGCCTCCGCCATCCCAGGAACGGGCTCCCACAGTGCAGCGGCGGCCTGAAGAGCCCCTCAAGCACAGCCAGAGTGGGCACCGAGGCCGAGGAGGCGCCAAGAGCAAGCGAGGGCTGTGAGGGCTGCCAGCACGCTGTCACCTCTCATTTTGTAATAAAAAATATTCATTTATGATTTGTACAATAAAAATGATTTTGTAAAAATACACAACTCACTCCTTAGCAAATTAAGAACCTACACATAAAGCCCTTAGCTTTATGGAGGATCACGTCTATAAATCAACATCAAATCCATTTTAAAGACAGTCATGAACAAAATGTCCTTTATCGTCACTACTATTCAATATTATATTGGAGGTCCTAATAAATGAAAAAAGATGCAAAATGTATATAAATAAAAAATAATTACGGTGGGGCGCGGTGGCCCACGCCTGTAATCCCAGCACTTTGAGAGGCCAAGGCGGGCGGATCACAAGGTCAGAATATCAAGACCATCCTGGCTAACACAGTGAAACCCCGTCTCTACTAAAAATACAAAAAAAGAAAATTAGACAGGCGTGGTGGCAGGCGCCTGTAGTCCCAGCTACTCAGGAGGCTGGGGCAGGAGAATGGCGTGAACCCGGGAGGCGGAGCTTGCAGTGAGCCGAGATAGCGCCACGGCACTCTAGCCTGAATGACAGAGCGAGACTCCGTCTCAAAAAATAATAATAATAATAATAAGGTACAAATATCGAAAGCTAAAACAAATCACTGCAAAACATATTATTACCTAGAACAAGAGAATTACCAAAAACAAAACCCAAAAACTATTATTAATAAATAGAATTCAGCAAAGTAGCCAAAATCAAAGAACTATAAACAAAAATCAGTAGCTTTCCTATACATCAAAGTAAGATTTTTTTAAAATCCCTTTGGCCAAAGCAATATAAACTATAAAATGCATAAATATACCTAATAACAATAGCTCACATTTTTAATGTATTAACTTACATGTCTTAACCCAGTTAATCTTCACAATAATCCTGATGAGTTATTCCCATTTTATGGATGAGGAAACTGAAGCACAAAAAAGGTCTGTTATTTGCCCAACCTTATTGTGGCTTAGCAAAGACCGACTCTAAGTAGCATGACACTAGAACACATTCTTTTCAATACTACTAAACAGCCAACATTAGGAAAACTTTACAGGTGAAATGAAAGACCTCACTAAACAGTCATACTATATTACTGGGTGGGAACATCCAATATTATAAAGATACCAATTCTTCCCCCAAATTAATCTATAAATTCAAGGCAATTCCCATAAAAAACCCCAACAAGGGCCGGATGCGGTGGCTCACGCCTGTAATCCTAGCACTTTGGGAGGCCGAGACGGGCGGATCACAAGGTCTGGAGATCCAGACCATCCTGGCTAACACAGTGAAACCCCGTCTCTACTAAAAATACAAAAAAATAAAAATAAAAATAGCCAGGCATGGTGGTGAGCGCCTGTAGTCCCAGCTATACGGGAGGCTGAGGCAGGAGAATGACTGAGACAGGAGAATGGCGTGAACTCGGGAGGCGGAGCTTGCAGTGAGCCGAGATCCCGCCACTGCACTACAACTTGGGCGACAGGGCAAGACTCCTTCTCAAAAAAACAAAACAAAACAAAAAAAACCCAACAAGATTTTTTTGTGGAACTTGACATACTGATTCTAAAATTCATGTGGACCAAAACACACAAAAATGCCAAGAACATTTTGAAAAAGATGGCCGGGCACGGTGGCTCACGCCTGTAATCCCGGCACTTTGGAAGGTGGAGGTGGATGGATCACGAGGTCAGGAAATCAAGACCATCCTGGCTAACACGGTGAAACCCCGTCTCTACTAAAAATACAAAAAATTAGCCGGGCATGGTGGCTGGCACCTGTAGTCCCAGCTACCCGGGAGGCTGAGGCAGGAGAATGGTGTGAACCAGGGAGGCGGAGCTTGCAGTGAGCCGAGATCGCGCCATTGCACTCCAGCCGGGGCGACAGAGCGAGACTCTGTCTCAAAAACAAAAAAAAAGAAAGAAAAGGAAAGGAAGAACAAGGGGAAGGAACTGCCTTACCAGGTATAAAAATACAGACTTTAGGCTGGGTGTAGTGGCCCACGCCTCTAATCCCAGCACTTTGGGAGGCTAAGGCAGGCAGATCACTTGAGCCCAGGAGTTCATGATCAGCCTGCCCAACATGGCGAAACCCTTCGCTACTAAAAATACAAAAATTAGCCAGGTTGGTGGTGCGTGCCTGTAATCCCAGCTACTCTGGAGGCTGAGGCACAAGAATCACTTGAACCCAGGAGGCGGAGGTTGCAGTGAGCCAAGATTACACCACTGCACTCCAGCCCGGGCAACAGAGCGAGACTCTATCTCAAAAAAAAATAATAATAAATAAATAAATAAAAATACAGACTTTTAAGGTGACTGAAATGAAGCTGAAGTACTAACAGGAACACCAACAGATCAATGAAAGCCAAGAGTTTCTAAAAACAGAGCAGTGTATATAATACTGTTACAATGCCATTTACTACCACAACTCAACAAATGATGCTCAAACAATAGGCTACTCATTTAGTGAGGAAAAAATAGCCATGTCTACCTTACCTTCAACATATATAAATTCCAGATTACTTAGAGCTGAAACAGAACAGGGACACCTTTTAAGGGCCTGTGGGCCCCTAAGCATAGAAATACAAGAAAATATTAAGTTCTTTCAAGGGAAATTTCTGGCACCTAGCTAGCCTTGGAAAGTAAACATGCAACTTAATAAGCAAGTAATAGTAACTTTAAAATAGCCAAGGAAGTCAGAGTCATGAGAACGTTTGCTTCCCTACAGAAACTAAAGATAACATCTCAACATCTGTCACTTCAGTTGTTTTTCAGAAACCTGAACTCCCAGCAAAAGGATCTGCGGGCACACAGACCTCAGATAAGGAGGAACTGGGTACTGAACTCGTCTGCTATCCTGAAATTTACCCCTGCCTTTAAAAACTGTTACCTGCAAATCATAGGGGAGGTCAGAATTTAAGGGTTAGTCACCTGGTCCTCCTTGCTTGACACCCTGTAAATAAACACCATGCCTTCCTTTCTACCACTGCAAAATCTTGGTGTGGATATCTGGCCTTATTGGACTGGGTGAGCCAACTCCGGTTTGGTTCTCTAAACACCGGCAACCAAAATGGGACAAAAGTCTGGAGTGGGTGCCTCATCTGTACCACATAAGTCCCTGGCCGCAGCCACCCTTGGGCCCAATCCAGCAGCTGCCTGAATTATTTTATTCAGGGACAGATCCGTGTATTTGGCAGGCAATCAGACACCGTTGGCCTGTGGTGCTTCTACTTTCACAGCATTAGAAATAAATCACCTGAGAAGATGTCTTTTGGTAAGTGGGGGGTTGATGTGTGATAGCCCCATAGTATTTTTCCTTTCAGCAGGAAATCCAGCCTTGCTTCAGCAAGGTATTGGGCTCTACTTCATCAGAATGCACTTGGTGGGAGATATCCCAGAGCTGAAGACTGAAACCTTGAAAAATCACAATTTGATTGTGATTTACTTGCTTGAAAATCTATTTAATACTTAACACCTGGCCAAGGCATTAAAGGTTTGTCACCTAGGTTTTGCGACAAACCTTTAATGCCTTGTCCAGGGTTTTGTTTCATTTGAGAAACACAAGTTCTATTTCCTTTGTAGCCCATTAGGGTGTATTCTGCAGAATTGGGCCATTTTTAGATTTGGGCCCAAGGAAAAAAAAAAAATGATTTTTTTTTAATTGCAGTAGTGCTTGGCCACAGTATTTTTTAAGACTCCAGAAAAAAGCCTGAAAAGGGGAACCTTTAAACTGGACCCCTAAATTTTAAAATAATCTCAGGCATCTCTCTAAACAATTGCTTTTACAAAAAAAAGTTATTTTCTAAACAAATTTTACAAAGGACACTTAATAGTGTCATGACTAGCCTTGAGAATTCACTTGACTAAATTAAAGAACAAATATCTCACCTAAAACAAGGTTAAAATCCTTTGCAAGCTCAAAACTGCCTGCTTTAGATCCCCTCCAGGAACAGCAGTGGTAAAGCACTGAGGCTGCCTGGGTTGAATTCCCAGCCAAGGAACACATCATTTTTTGGTTTAATATTTGTGTGACTTTTGCCATTTATCGTTCCTTTTTCCTTCTATGGGCAGCTTTTGATTTCCTGTCCTCCATCTGTGAGGGGGGCAGCCTACAGGTTTTTTGGTATGCTTTTTGGTACACGTTGTGTGTGTGAATGGTCAGCTGAGAAACTGAGGCTCTAGAGAATATGGCCAAACAGAAATGTGGTCTGTACTCCATTTATGGCTGACGAAATTTTCCTCTCTTTAAGCTGTCTTTGGGGCAGCTCTGAATCTTGTGAAAACTGCTTTCCACCTCTTTCGAGACCTCATGTGTCCTTGTTGAAGTCATAACCCTGGCTAACGCTTCTTAGTTTCATGGGGGAGAATATCTTTGGGGTGAAAAGAGTTCAAAAGCCAGAAATATCAACTGTTTGTCCCAGCTAAAAATCTGATAGTAAGAGATTTGAAAGGATATTTTTTTAAGAACTCTATACTCAAAAGTCTAATTAAAACTAATATTTAGGCCATATTTGTGTATGTATATATAACTATATATATAAAATTATATAACTATAACTATATATACATTATATATAACATGTATATGAGGCCTTAAAACTATATTTATATAGTTTTAAACTATAGTTTATATATATAGTTTTAATAGTTTTATATATTTATAGTTTTTTTAATAGTTTTATATATAGTTTTTTATAGTTTTTTATGTGAGCCTCCATGCCCGGCCACTTTTCTTATTTTCTCTGTCTACTACTGGCTTAGCAAATTCTGTGTGCTGCCCTGGAGTCTTAATTACTTCAGGTGATCACACTGAACTATAAATATAATTGCCTTTTTGTTATGCTTCCTTGTGGACTTTCATCCTCCCAAATTAAAAGGGCAATTTTATAATTAGAATTTCTGAGACGTTGACAAAGACAGGTAACCTATAGATATATCATCTGACCCAGCTAATAGAACAATGATACTCAAGTTCCTTCAATCATCATAATCTGAGGGCCCCTTTCAGAATATTACATAAAAGAATTCCTGGCCAGGCACGGTGGCTCATGCCTATAATCCCAGCACTTTGGGAGGCCGAGGCGGGTAGATCATGGTGTCAGGAGTTCGAGACCAGCCTGACCAACATGGTGAAACCCTGTCTCTACTAAAAATACAAAAAAATTAGCCAGATGTGGTGGCGTGTGCCTGTAATCTCAGCTACTCGGAAGGCTGAGGCAGGAGAATCGCTTGAACCTGGGAGGCGGAGGTTGCAGTGAGCCAAGACATGGCACTCCAGCCTGGGTGACAGAGGGAGACTGTCTCCAAAAAAAAATATATATATATATATTATATAAAAGAATTCCTTTATTTTGGAAGTCCCTTCACTTGAAGCTTCAAACAAATTTGCCAGAAATAATGAGACTCTGCCTCTATATAAAAGGCTTACTTGATTTTGCCTCTTGAGAGGAGCAAGAGCCCTGCTCCCTCCTTAGAAGTCTGCTCTCTAAACATGTCAGAAATCCCGTATCTTAGCTGCAAGTAAATTAACTCATTAAAAGTAAACAAGTCCACATACTCACTTTGGGATCCACAAATCTATTCTTGCCCAGGTACTAAAAAGATGGATGCGGGTTATTTCTTTGGATGGACTTTGTTACCTTGGTGGGGAGTGGCATCCTATGAGCACATGATTAGAAATCTCTCTCTTTAGGAATTCTTGCTAAGGAAACTTCAGCAGCAATAGCTGTCTAGCAGAAAAGAATTAATTCATTGGCTCAGGTGTCTTAGATAATAGGATAGCCTTAGATTACATCTTAGCCAAGCAGGGAGGAGTGTGTATGGTTGCAAATCCCACATGCAATACTTATATAAATGAATCTGCTGAGGTAGAAACTCATCTAAAATAAATTAGAGAACAAGTCACTTGGTTACAACAGATCTCCCTGACTGTCCCTAAGGACTGGTTTTCTTCTTTCTTTTCTTGGATTCCTCATGGAATAAAATCCATGTTTTCTGGATTGCTAAAGTTATGCATATCAATCTTGCTAATTTTTCTTGTGCTTTATATCATAACCAAATGTGTGTTAAAATGTAATAAAGCAGTGACTAATACAAATAATGACAGTTCAGCACCATGGTGCCATGCCTGGGACTCATGGATACCTTGAATTCCGTGCTAGGAACTTACTATCCTCAGCCAGGGGCGGTGGCTCACACCTGTAATCCCAGCACTTTGGGAGGCCGAGGCGGGTGGATCACGAGGTCAGGAGTTTGAGACCAGCCTGGCTAATATGAGGAAACTCTGTCTCTACTAAAAATACAAAAAATAGCCAGGCGTAGAGGTGCACACCTGTAGTCCCAGCTACTCAGGAGGCTGAGGCAGAAGAATCGCTTGAACCCAGGAGGCAGAGGTTACAGTGAGCCGAGATCATGCCACTGCACTCCAGCCTGGGCGACAGAGCAAGATGCCATCTCAAAAAAATAAAGAAAAGAAACTTAATATCCTCATATCCTAGTCCTCAATCTTTGCCCCAATTCAACAGGAAGTAGGCAGAGCAGTCTGCACCCCAGTACCCCACAAGATTGATGGGTGACAAAAGATGGGGAATTGAGATGACGCAGGGACCCCAAGCATAGAAAAAAGGAAAATCTTCAGTTATTTCAAAGGAAACTTCAGGCACCTAGCTAGCCCTGAAAAATAAATGTGCAACTTGATAAACAAGCAGGTAACAGTAACAACAGCCAAGCTGGCCCAGCATGGTGGCTGACACCTGTAATCCCAACTCTTTGGGAGGCCAAGGTGGGAGGATCACTTGAGGCCAGGAGTTCAAGACCAGTCTGGGCAACATAGCGAGACCCCATCTCTAACAACAACAAAAATAGCCAAGGAAGTTAAGAGTCACAAGAATGTTTGCTTCCCTATAAAAACTAAAGATAATACCTTAACATGTCTCCAGTTGTTTTTCAGAAACCTGTGCCCACACCAAAAGGATCTGCCAGCACAGCAACCTCATATAGAGAGGAACTGGGGACTGAACTCTGACTCCCCTTCTTTGTTCTAAATTTCTTTCTGAGGGGCCTGGAGAAGGTTATACCCATGAGCCAGTGCTAACATTCTTTTCTGCTGATCTCAAATTTTTAGAAAAAGCTTTGCCTCCTTAACCAACTGCAAATCAGAAAATCTTCTACTGTACCTATGACCTATACACCACTGCTTCAAGATATCCCAACCTTTTAGGCCAAAATCAGTGTGTAACCCTCCATGTATGGTTTATGATTTTGTCTGTAACTTCTGCTATCCAGAAATTTACCACTGCCTTTAAAAACCCTTACCTGCAAATCATCGGGGAGGTCAGGATTTAAGCATTAGCTACCTGGTCCTCTTTGCGTAGCATCCTGAAAATAAATGCCTTCCTTTCTACTGCTGCAAAACCTCAGTGTGGTTATGTCCTTATTGTGCCAGGCGAGCAGACCCAAGTTCAGTTCTATAACAGAGCTAAAAGGAAAGAATGTTTTTATTTAAGAAAAAAAAATTGGTATAATATTTGGGTGAAGAAAATTTGTACCAAACAAGATAAAAAATCCAAGCCCTTATAAAGAAAAAAAAAATGAAAAGAGTTCACTGTATACTAATTTTAAGTTTTTATAAAACAATATCATAAACAAAATCAAACAGCAAATTGCATACTGGGAGGAAAAACTAACAACATGTAAGAGTTCCTTCAAATCATTAAGAGAAAAAAACCCTATTAAAAAATAAGCTTAAAAATATGTGCTATACAGCCTGGCCAACATGGCAAAACCCTGTCTCTACAAAAAATACAAAAAAAAGTAGCTAGGTATGGTGACGCACCCCTGTAATCCCAGCTACTCAGGTGTCTGAGGCTGGAGGATCACTTGAGCCAGGGAGGAAGAGGTTGCAGTGAGCCAAGATTGCGCCATGGCACTCCAGCATGGGTGACAGATGGAGACTCTGTGTCAAAAAAAAATAATAATGATAATAATAATATATACTACACACATTACAAGAACACAAGATGTCAAATAAAATGATGCGCAATCTCACTAGAAATAAAAGACAATCAACTTAATGAAATATTTTTCATCCAACAAATTAACTAAACAAAAAATAAAAACAATTGCTATCCAGTGCTGATAAGTGGACAGATTATTCTCACACATTTCTGATGAATCTCAAATGGTATCACATTCTTGTAGGGAAATACAGCCATTTTTATTTTTAATGGAAACTCTGAATACTTTTCATTCAGTAATTTCATTTCTAGGTATTTCATTTCTAGGAAAAACTCTCAAACGGTTTTTCTTTTTCTCTCATACTACTACAATGGTCAGCAACCAAAGTCTTCTGTGACCAAATCCGTGCAATTAATTCTTCAGTGGACACCAACTGGGTGTCCTCCAAATCAGCTCCAACACTACCTGGAAATAGCATCAGATCCCCCAGGATGAGGGCTCAGTCCCCAAGACTGCCCTGCCAACAAACAAACATACCAGTTTCAAGTCCAGACCTCTGGAACTTCTGACTTACCGGCTTTCAAGTTGGGGTTCCCACGACCTCCTCTTTGGGTTTGATTAATTTGCTGGAGGGCTCACAGAACTTTGGGAAACACTTACATTTACTGGTTTATTGTAAAGGATATTACAGATAAAGAGATGCACAGAGTGAGGTATGGGGGAAGGGGCACAGGGCTTCTATGCCCTTCCTGTGCAGGCCACCCTCCAAGAACCTCCACGTGTTGAGCCATCCTGAAGCTTCTGGAACCTAGTCCTCCTGGGTTTTTATGGAAATTTCAAAATATCAGCATTCCTTCCTCCAAGGATAGGGTGGGACGCCCTCTGAGGAGGGTCTTATAACTCCCAATCAGAAAGGCAGGGAAGATTATAGGGTCTTGTCTTGGGGCAGATGAGAGATGGATAGGAGAAAGTCTGAGAAATTCTGTTTCCTGAGGCCTGCCCATGAGACCTGACACACCCAACATTGTAACAAAAAGACTTTAACAAGGGCTATGGGAGTTACAAGCCAGGAACAATGGATGAAAACCAATATATGTAACATTTGTTAAATTAAGTCTAGACACATGAGACCTGACACACCCAACATTGTAACAAAAAGACTTTAACAAGGGCTATGGGAGTTACAAGACAGGAACAGTGGATGAAAACCAATATATATAACATCTGTTAAATTAAGTCTAACCTAAAGCCACCTCCTTACATATTTTAAGTTTGGCCTAAAGGTTTCTCTGTACACAGTGAACTGAAACTTAACTAGATGTATAAACAGATCGTAACCTACTTTTGTGCTAATTACCGAGTTTCAGTCAATCAAAGGCAGCCAACTGTTCAAACTATGTTCAAATACTCCAAATGCCCGAACTGTAACAAATCTGGCTGTTTCTGTACCTCATCTCTGTTTTCTGTACATCACTTTCCTTTTTGTGTCCATAAATCTTCAATCATGGGACTGCACCAGAGCCTCTCTGAACCTATTCTGGTTCCTGGGCTACCCAATTTGTGAATCATTCTTTGCTCAGTTAAACTCTGTTAAATTTAATATGTCTAAGGTTTTCAACAGATGTCATGCCCAGGAGCATGGAGTGACCAAGCAAGGTACCCCTCAGACTCACGATGTCCATTGCTTTCTGGAAGCAACTGATATCGTGGTAAGTTCTCGCTGAGATTCTGAAGCTCGACAGATTTCTGTTTGGAACCGAGTTTGAGCAAACTTCTGATCCGAACTGGGTTTGGAAGTCACAACAGAAACTGGACTGGATCCATGATTGGATTGGATCTGATAATTAACTGACTTGGATTCAGTTAAGAGGCTGCAGATGTCCAGGATCAGGCAGAAACTAGCAGAAATGGTAATATTACAGTGGGTGCAGACTTCAGAAATTTGCAGAGATTTTTGTGTTCTACATTCTTTTTCTTGTACCCTTAGGTAGGGAAAAATCATTAACTAAATTGATGAAGGGGATCTGAGGACCAAATCCAGGATTCTAGGGAAATATTGGATCCTTAGTATCTGAAGAACACCGTATTCTACCTTCTAGCTATAAGGTAGAATGTATAAATATTAGGCCTCAGAAGAAATAACTACTTACAGAAATGGCAAAATCTTTGTAACTTAAAATTACAATGGACCGTTCCTAATGAACAACACAGCACTTAAAAATGAGGGGTCCTGAATTAGTCTTCAAGGATGCCTATTGATGTGCAGAAGCTTCTAAAAACATTTCAATATTTTTATTGCTTTATTAAAAGACTTCATAAAAGGCAAATAGGGCCAGGTGTGGTGGCTCATGCCTGTAATCCCAACACGTTGGGAGATCAAAGCAGGAAGATCGCTTGAGCACAGCAGTTCAAGACAAGCCTATGCAACATAGTGAGATCTCCTCTCTACAAAAAATTAAAAATCAGCTGGATGTGGTGGTGTACACCTGTAGTTCCAGCTACTCAGGAGGCTGAGGTGGGAAATTCACTTGAGCCCAGGAGGTAAAGGCTGCAAATCAGCTGTGACTGTGCCTTTGTGATTACACAGAGGGAAACCCTGTCTTTAAAAAAAAAAAAAAAAAAGGCAAATAAAAAGCTCAGGTGAATAATTCACAAGAATAATTAAATCTGCTAAACTTTTGGCATAAACACTATCCTGCCTCAAGAGTGAAAATAACGATATCCTGGATAAAATGTTGATAAAATGTAAACCAGTGGGTAAAGCAGACTTGCTTCTTTTTTAGATCTATCCAGTCTGAGTCCAAGCACAGAGTACTGTTTTCTTTGCCCTATTCCTCAATGGGCTCCATCTACCCTGAACTCAGTAATTTTAGCCAAGAAACAGTAGCTAAGTCAAATAAACCACCTACCCAACTAAAATATACCTTCCTGGCATTTAACTGGCTATCCTGAAACTCTTCTGTAAAAGAAATTTACATCTATAAAGGAAATCTCCATTTGTAAGGGTGTCTGCCTGTGTATATTAGAAACTTTTACCATAGTTTTAAATTTATGTAACAAGTCAAACCTTTGTTTAAGGTGCTTTTCTGGACATCTTAACTGAAATTTTTTACTCACATCATTTTTTCCTTGGTTTGAGCAAATGAGGGTACAATATGTACGCCTAAAGTCTTAGGTTGTGCTTTTGAGATATAAATTTTCTACCTTATTTCACCTAAGAGTTGTCCCATTAGAAATGCAAATTTAAGGTTGCCTAGCTAACAACTCCTTAGGGCAATGAAACAGGTAATGGAAGAATGATAGTCTGAATGGGGAAAAGAAAAACTATTCAAAAGCCAGCAAATGACAATCCTTTATGTAAGCTATAATATCTGCTTCTGT
The DNA here is from genome assembly GCF_000001405.40 of Homo sapiens. NCBI lineage: Eukaryota > Metazoa > Chordata > Mammalia > Primates > Hominidae > Homo > Homo sapiens. The sequence continues at coordinate 51,859,249 of NC_000001.11, forward strand.
CTTTGTGTCTGTGTCTATATGTGTTACTTGTATGTAATATTTAGTAAATAAAGGTAGTTGTAAATTGTTACTAAAATAGAAATGGCTTCAAAATTATCAGTTAAATATAATTTGATACTTGCTTGCTTGTTTTTGGTTTTGAGCCTCTGGAGTCAGAGGTCTGGATGTATGCCCACAGTGAGGCATGAGGACACATTCTCAATGCCTAGGCCACCAGCTGCAAGGCAGAATCAAGCCCAATATATCCCCTTTTCCCCTGCCCTAGCTTTGCCTCCTGGCTATTTTGGGAGGGTTCCGTCCTCCAGGCAATGTCTTCCCATTTCTGTCTTCTGTCATGAGGTCTACAGCTGTGCGTAAATTCAGGACTCAGACAGGACCTGCCCTTCATACCCATCTTGGGTGCCATGTGGCTACCTGAGACCCAGGATGACTAGGAAAAACATCAGAGGGGAGGGTACCTGTGTCACAGTTTCAAAGTCTTTACGGTAACTTAAAATACTTCTAAGTATTAAAACTTAAAATATTTCTAAGTATTTAGAAATGATGTAGTTAGATGTAGGAGATGCACAGCATTCTCAGTTTACCTGGATCTCATGGAGCATAAAAATTGGCATGAAGTAAACTGTGTAAGATTACCAGAGCCCCAGCTTATCTGCTTTGTCTGTACCGAGACAGAAGGGGAGGGGTTACAGACTATGGTGCCTACTCCCATCACTGCTTCCCTCAGCCATAACAGGACAAGGGGGATCTTGAAAGCATCTTGAAAATTGTAAGGTGATCCAGATTTGGCCGTGTCTTTTACTTTGGCCATAGTGGTGTCCAATTATATTATAAATTAACTGATGGATTTATGCTGCCAGATCCTCAGAATGTTTGCCTTAGAAGATGACATCTATGCTTCCCCGATGCTTATTTTATTCATACAAGATTGGATTTGACACCCATCAGCATGCTTCATCTTTCACCTCAGAGATACTCAGAGTTGACTTGGGTTGACTAGTCAGGGTTGATTTAGATAGGGTTGATTTTCCCATTCCGTAAGTTTTTCTTTCTGAAGAATAAAACTTCCCCAGATAGAATTGTTTTTTCTTCAAAAATATAGGATAGTTGCTCTAGAACTTTCTTATCTGGAGACAGTTTAACTACAGTTGTATACAGACTTATGTCTATCATTCACACTCATAGCTGCCTCTGTGTTCATTGCTGCTGCAGCTAGCTCATTATAGAGACTGCCACCTCTTTCTCTTACTCGACTCTCCCAGTGCCTTCTGGCCACTACAGCTAGCTTAAAATGGCATTTCATACACCTTGGTCACCGGGAGAGTTTACTTCTATCTACTTTTTCATCCCCAGTAGAAAGTAAAAGCTTTCTTCCAATTGGTCTTCCTGTTGCAATTACTATTACTTTTCTGGGGGTGACTTTAAATCAAAACCGAAAATATGTTTATTCACAGTATAAACTTACGTGTCTAGAATAATAAGGAACAGAGAAGTGCTACCTACAAGAACCTTCCTTTCTCTTCTTACCACCACCTTTATAATATAGTAGCTAGAATATTACAAGAGAGATAGTGTGGGACACTATCAGCCTTAAAAACATCTTTATTAATTAGACCTATTTTACTTTTGTTAATATTTCCCAATTAAGTTGTCCAGAGTATGAAAAATTATATGCACAAAGATGTTCCAAGTGGTATTACTTCTTTTTTTTTTTTTTTTGAGACAGAGTCTCGATCTGTCACCCAAGCTGGAATACAGTGGCATGAGCTTGGCTCACTGCAACCTCCGCCTCCCATGGTGAAGTGATTCTCCTGCCTCAGCCTCCCGAGTAGCTGGGATTATAGGCGGGCATCACCATGCCCAGTTAATTTTTGTATTTTTAGCAGAGATGGGGTTTCACCACGTTGGCCAGGCTGGTCTCAAACTCCTGACCTCAGGTGATCCACCCACCTTGGCCTTCCAAAGTATGAGGATTACAGGCGTGAGCCACTGCACCCGGCTGCCCAAGTGGTATTACTTTTTTTTTTTTTTTTTTTGAGACAGGGTCTCACTCTGCCACAGAGATAATCAAATCTCTTCTTCTTCTTTTTTTTTTTTTTGAGACAAAGTCTTGCTCTGTTGCCCAGGCTGGAGTGCAGTGGCACAATCTTGGCTCACTGCAACCTCTGCCTCCCAGGTTCAAGCAATTCTTGTGCCTCAGCTTCCCAAGTAGCTGGGACTACAGGTGCATGCCATGAGGCCTGGCTTTTTATTATTATTATTATTTTTTTTTATTTTAGTAGAGACGTGGTTTCACCATGTTGCCCAGGCTGGTCCTGAACTCCTGAGCCCAGGCAATCCGCCCCCCTTGGCTTCCCAAAGTGCTAGGATTACAAGTGGTGAGCCACTGTGCCTGGCTACATGAGAAAGATTCTGTACCACCAGAAAACATACACTGAAAATGACAAGTGAAGAAAATACCTCTATAAATGTTTAAATGGCCCACCAGGGCAGAAATATACCTGAAGTTTTTATTATCTTCTCAGGATTGATTATGGGTTTGACAAACCAAACATTGGTCATAAACCATTTTCGCATTTAGAACATTCGCCACACACACGCACACATTTATATGCAATTGGGATTACTTAGTCTCATCTATGATGAGTCACTGACTGCAGAGCTTTTAGTAATGGAAACTTCGACGACTCAGGAAGGGCCAGGTGGGTCAAAGCTCTCCATGAGTCCATGGATAACATTGGACTTAATATCCTCCTAAATGCCAATTTTGTCTCTCCAATTTAGATGCATAGAACTGTTTATTAGAATGAGTTATCATAGGTAATTTGACTTTGGACCATGGAGTTCATTCAAATTGCGTATCTAAACAATGTTAGTATTAGCTGATTTAGCATGAAAATCTGGCATGGTTATTTTCTTGGTATTCAATTAAATTTTGTCCTGCTTGGGTTAGCAGTTTTAGAATTAGTAAAAAATACATATATACGTATATAGGGCTTTCCCCCCCGCCAATAAAAGACATCCATCTAGAAGCAGTGGCTCATGCCTGTAATTCCAACACTTTGGGCGGCACAGGCAGGAGGATCACTTGAGCCTAGAAGTTCGATGCTGCAGTGAGCTATGATGGCACCACTGCAGTACAGCCTGGGTGACACAGTGAGATCATCTCTCTAAAAAAGAAAAAAAAAAAGAGGCTGAGTGTGGTGGCTCATGCTTGTAATCCCAGAATTTTGGGAGGCTGAGGTGGGAGGATTGCTTGAGCCCAGGAGTTCAAGATCAGCTTGGGCAACAAAAGGAGACCTCATCTCTGCAAATAATTTTTAAAATTAGCCCGAGGTGGTAACACACACTTGTGGTGCCAGCTACTCAGGAGGCTGAGGTGGGAGGATCACCTGAGCCAGGAGGTTAAGGCTGCAGTGAGCCATGATCATGACACTGCACTCCAGCCTAGGGAACAGACTGAGGAGGCCCTGTCTTAAAAAAAAGGCCAGGAGCAGTGGCTCATGCCTGTAATCCCAGCACTTCGGGAGGCCAAGGCAAGCAGATCACATGAGGCCAGGAGTTTGAGACCAGCTGGACAACAAAACCCTGTCTCTACTAAATATACAAAAATTAGCCAGGTGTGGTGGCACGTGCCTATAATCCCAGCTACTCGGGAGGCTGAGGCAGGAGAATCGCTTGAACCTGGGAGGCAGAGTTTGCAGCGAGCTGAAATCAGGCCACTGCACACTAGCCTGGATGACAGAGTGAGACTCTGTGTGGAGGAAAAAAAAAAAAAAAAAAAAAAAAACAAGCAATAACCAGAAAAAGTAGAAAATTTAAAACAAAGTATCACATCACTGTAGAATTTCTTCAGAGAAGTTCAAAATGAGGCCAGGCATGGTGGCTCACACCTGTAATCCCAGCACTTTGGGAGGCCAAGGCAGGCGGATCACTTGAGATCAGGTGTTCAAGACCAGCCTAGACAACACAGCAAAACCTTGTCTCTGCTAAAAATACAAAAATTAGCTGGGCATGGTGGCGTACGTCTGTAGTCCCAACTACTTGGGAGACTGAAGCAGAAGGATCACTTGAACCCGGGAGGCAGAGGCTGCAGTGGGCCAAGATTGCACTGCTGTACTCCAGCCTGGGTGACAGAGCACGACTCTGTCTCAAGAAAAAAAAAAATTAGCTTTTGGTGCAGATTTAATAATGTTTCTTTAATGAACTCAACCTAAAATTACAAGACAAAACAGCATTTAAGTCATTTCAATCAAGAATGATGTTTGAATCACAAGTAATGGCAAGCTACGTCATATACTTCCTGTGCTATAAAAAGTTAAAACAAGAAGTAATACCTCCATTCCCCCACAAACTATAGTTTCAGAAGTGCCTTCCAGACCTTGTTGCAACCACAAAGAAACTTCCATATTTCAAAGTCCATTAACTGTGCAATTGAGGAGATCCCACCTAATTTAATTGGAAGTGACTGATCTATAGTGTTTGATCTATTTAATCTATAATAATGTTAAAAGGAAAAAATATGAGAAGAATCTAATATAATTATATAAATGTTTTCCAAGCAAAGAATATGCTCAATTAAAGTCATATACAGATGCTCCTCGACTTACAACAGGGTTAGGTCCTGAAAAACCCATCTTAAGTTGAAAATATTGTAAATTGAAAATGCATTTAACCTAACCTACTGAACATCAATAGCTTAACCTAGCCTACCTCAAACATGCTCAGAATGCTTACATAGCCTACAGTTGGGGAAAATCATCCAACACAAAGTCTATTTTATAATGAAGTGTTGAATATCTCATGTAATTTACTGATACAACACTGAAGTGAAAAACAGAAAGATCATATGGGTACTCAAAGATCGGTTTCTACTGAATGCATATCACTTTTTTGCACCATGGAAAGTGGAAAAACCCTAAGTTGAACCAACATAAATTAGGGACCATCTGTACTCATAGACTGCTATTAGTATTTCAATATTAATATATTGGCGGTACCTAGCTATGTGGAAAGACATTTTCAAAGATAAGGTATGTAAAATCTCATTACAAATCAGATTTAACAGATGAACTGACTGATGAACACTTAATTTTGATCCCAATAAAGCAAAATGTTATCCCAATAAAAACAATTCCATCATTCTTACTAGTAGAACTGTATTACCAAAAAACATACTATATTTTGAACTTCATAAAAATTTTCACCAAAAATTTGCAGAAATTTGTTTTCTTTTTTGATATACAAGTACTTACTTAATATCCTCAATTTCACCTCCTGACTGACAAAGCCCAAAGTATTTATTAGCTAGAACTTTTACAGAAAATATTTGGTGATCTCTGGGATTTATACTTTTTTAAAAGTATGACTGGACAACTGGTTATCCATATTTTTTTTTAAATAGTAATAAAATTAGATTTTTGCCAGGCATGGTGGCTCACACCTATAATCCCAGAACTTTGGGAGGACAAGGAGGGCAGATCACTTGAGGCCAGGACTTCGAGACCAGCCTGGCCAACATGGTAAAACCCTGTCTCTGCTAAAAATACAAAAATTAGCCAGGCGTGGTGGTGCATGCCTGTAGTTCCAGCTACTCAGGAGGCTGAGGTGGGAGTCGCTTGAACCCGGGAGGCAGAGGTTGCAGTGAGCTGAGATCATGCCACTGCACCCCACCCTGGGTGATGGAGTGAGACCTGGTCTTAAAAAAAAAAAAAAAAATTAGATTTCTTAATGTAAAAAACTATAATAAAATTTTTAGAATAAGATACAAAAAGTGCAAACCATAAAAGATCAATAACTGATTCAATGTTTGACTTTATAAACAAGGAGCAAACATAAGCTATGGACTTAGAGAATACATTTGCAACTCATATAATCGACAAAAAATTAGCATTCAAAATAAAATGAATTTTTACAAGTCAAATTTATAAAAAGAAAAAACAACCCAATAGAAAAGCAGGCAATTTATAAAAGGAGAAATCCTGATGTCTACAAACTATGAAATAATGTCTGATCTTATTAGTAATAAGGGGAAATACAAATTTTTTAAGTTTTTCGTTTTGTTTTTTTTTTTTGAGACGGAGTCTCGCTCTGTCACCCAGGTTAGAGTGCAATGGCGTGATCATGGCTCATGCAACCTCCGCCTCCCCGGGTTCAAGCGATACTCCCACCTCAGCCTCCCGAGTAGCCAGGATTACAGGCACCCATGATCATGCCTGGCTAATTTACTATTTTTGTAGAGATGGGGTTTCACCATGTTGGCCAGGCTGGTCTTGCACTCCTGACCTCAGGTGATTCGCCCACCTTGGCTTCCCAAAGTGCTGGAATTACAGGCATGTGCCACTGCGCCCAGCCTAAAAAGATTTTTTAAGAAAGAAAAATATAGGCTGATCTGAATTCAGTGGTATTCACAACTAAATGATGCCTTCTCCACTCCCACTGCTTCACTTGACTAACCTTTAAAAAAAAGTGAGAAATACAATTTTCCACAGATAGTAATTTTTTTTAAAACCTAACAATATCGACCAAGCATGATAGCTCACGCCTGTATTCCCAGCACTTTGGGAGGCCAAGAGGGCGGATCAGGAGGTCAGGAGAACGAGACCATCCTGGCCAACATGGTGAGACCCCATCTCTACTAAATATACAAAAAAAAAAAAAATTAGCTGGGCATGGTGGCAGGCACCTGTAGTTTCAGCTACTCAGGAGGCTGAGGCAGAAGAATTACTAGAACCCAGGAGGCAGAGGTTGCAGTGAGCCAAGATTTTGCCACTGCACAGCCTGGGCGACAGAGCAAGACTCCATCTCAAAAAAAAAAAGAAAAATTTCTTAAAATTAGCTGGGCGTGGTGGCAGTCCCAGCCACTCCAGAGGCTGAGGCAGGAGGGCCCCTTGAGCCCAGGACTTCTAGGTTACAGTAAGCTATGATTTCACCACTGCACTCCAGCCTGGATAACAGAGTGAGACCTTATCTTTAAAAAAAAGAAAAGAAAAAAACTAACAGTATCAATAACTGCTAAAAATGTAAGAACGTAAAGAAGCAGGAACTCTCATGTTCTATTGGTGTCAATGTAAAAAAGCACAACCCATTAGAAGAGTACTAATGGCAATATCTAGTGAGGTTAAAAATGAGTATGCCCAGTCATTTCACTTATAGGTATCATTTCACTCATAGGTATGTGCCCTAGATAAATTCTCAAACGTGTGCACAAGGAACCATATACAGTCCTCTGAAATGCTAGAAACAACTTAAATGAAAAACAAAAAGAAAAAAGCTAAATTGTGGCATAGTCATAAAACAAAATATAACAGAAAACTGTAACCAAATGACAATAGGAAAATAGATAATAACGATGTATTCATCAACAAAATATTAAACATTGGTTAACACAAATAACTAGAATTACACTTATTGACATGGATAAATCTCAAAAGCAATGTTAAACCAAAAAAAAAAAAAGATTATGAGACATCTAATGTGATACCTTTCTATTTCTATAATGCTTTAAAACATGCAAAAACAATGATATATACTGTTTAAAAAGTATGTTTAATAAAAAGTATACAACTATAGATAGAACTAGTACGGTATATACATGAAATTTAGATAGTGGTTAACACTGAAAAAAGAAGGCAGAGAAGGTAATGGGAAGAGGCAATATAAAGAGGGCTTCAGCTGTTATCTGTAAGGTTTTGTTTCTATATATATGTATGTTTTATATATACATATATGCCATATATATTCAAAGACAGAGTCTCAGTCTGTCGCTCAGGCTGCAGCACAATGATGCGATCATAGCTTACTGTAACCTCAAACTCCTGGGCTCCTGCAATACTCCTGCCTCAGCCTACCAAAGCACTGGGATTACAGGCATCATGAGCCACTGTGCCCAGCCTAAACATTATGTTTTGATCCAGACAAAAAGCAAGAAATAAAGTAACCAAAAAAAAAGACTGAAAAGTATATCCTTATGTAACAAGCCAAAGGAGAAAAGGAAGAAGACAGAAATGGAAGCAAGACTTTAAAACAGGCACTATTCTAGGCACTGGCGATATAAGCAGTAAACAAAACTAATTCCTTGCCCTTGTGATGAAACATTCCAGTGCAAGAGAAAGACAATGCACAAGTAAATTTATGTCAAATGACAATAAGTGCTATAAAAAAAAAGAGTAAGAAAAAACATGGAGGTAGGAAAACAAAATTTATTTTATACAGGCTGATATTTAAAGTCATGAGACCGGACAACATACAGAGTAAGGGTAGATGAGAAGTCTGAAAATTGAGCCCTAGATAATCCAAAATTTAGAAGTCAGGGAAATAAGAAGAGATCTGTGAATAAGCAGGAAGAGAACTATGAACAGTGGTGACCTGAAAGTCAACTGATCAAAGCATTTCAAGAAGAATGGTGAACTATGCAGTATGATGCTGATAGGTTGAGTAAGATAACTTGAGAATTGACTAATGTAAAGATATTGGTGACCTTGAACTAGCTATTTCAGTGTAACAATAGTGGCAGAAGTCTACTCTGAGTGAGCTTACAGAATAATGGAAACAGATGAATTACAAACTGCAAGTACAGATAACTCAACAAGTTTTGCTACAGTTACCAGAGAAACTGAATAGCTAGAAGGACATAGCTCCAAGGGGATAAAGAATAAAGAAATTTTCTCTCCTGAAGATGGAAACAATTACAGCATATTTGTATGCTCCCGGGGATGATCCAGTAAAAGACAAACTGATGATGCAGGATGGAAGGAGAACAATTGCTGGAATAATTAGTGGAACATAAAAGGTGTAAGGAGATGGGATCCAGTACACAACTGGAGAGTAGAGATAAGGTCTTAGGAGTACAGACTATTCATTTATTACTAACAGAAGAGAAGGTATGCAAAGACTCAAAGAAACAAATTCTCTCCCTTCAAAAAATTCAACATAATAGCGTGGAAAGACAAGTAATAACTACAAAAATATGAAATCGCTTGGAAAAAAAACATTGCTAGAGGGCCACACAAGAGTCACTAACTACATGTGGGAAGGGACGATTGAAAGAAAACAGAAAAGAGAGGAGATACTCATGCATGAATTCAAAAGGCAAATATGACCAAAGAAAACATGTGCCAAGAAAAGAAGCACAAAATAGCACAACAGAAGATGAAGATGAAGATAGAACGTTAAGAACAAAATAGAAGGCCTTGGACATTACCTGCCATTATGAGAAGTTTGTTAGAAGGAATAAAATGAGAGAATACAATCCATTTATACTCTAATTACTGCTTAGTACCTCCTCAGTAATGTATTTTCATAGAATAGCACTTAAATCTATCATGTAGTAACAGTACTGTCTGGCTGGGCACAGTGGTTCATGCCCGTAATTCCAGCACTTTGGGAGATGAAGGCAGGAGGATCACTTGACTCTAGGATCCAGGAATTCGAGACCAGGCTGGGTAGCATGAGGAAACCCCATCTCTACAAAAATTAGCCAGGTGTGGTGGTGCGTGCCTGTCGTCCCAGCTACTCAAGGAGGCTGAAGTGGGAGGATCACTTGAGCCTGGGAGGTGGAGGTTGCAGTGACCTGAGATCACACCACTGCACTGCATCCTGAGAGGGAGTGAGCCACCACCTCAAAAAATAAAATAAGGCATTGAAATTATTTAAAATGTTACCAGTGGTTAATGCAGGGTAGAATAATTATGGAGAATTCTCTCTTTTTGAGATAGGGTCTCACTCTGTTGCCCACACTGGAGTGTACCGGTGTGATCATGGCTCACTACAACCTCAAACTCTTGTGCTCAAGCCATCCTCCTACCTCAGCCTTCCAAGTAGCTGGGACCACACCAGCTTGGTGGTGCACACCACCAAGCCCAGCTAATTTTTTAATTTTTTGTAGAGGTAGGGTCTTGTTTTGTTACCCAGGCTGGCCTCAAACTCATGATCTCCAGCGATCCTCCTGCCTTGACTTAAGATGCTGGGATTACAGGCATGAACCAGCGCGCCCAGCCAGGAATTCTTAAATTTTCTTTTTATCTAAAGTTCCTTCCCTGTGATGACCACATAATACTTCTTTATTGTTATTTAACACTTATCTTCTTGTAATTACTAAAAAATAAATAAAACAAAAGTCAAATCTCTCCTTCCTTTCCCCAGAGAAATGAGCTTGCTGAATACCATCCCTAATCGTTTCTGTACATATATATGAATACGTGAAAAACTATAATTTAAGTAAACATATAACAGTAATGTTTTTTCCTTTTAAAAATGGAATTATACATTTTGTTTTGCCACTAGTTTTCATTCAACAATAAATCAGAGAAGATCTCTCTATTTCAACATATAAAATCACCTATCCTTTTTTATAGCTATGTATTATTTTCATTGTAAAACTGTAACATAATTTAATCTTTATTCAACCAATGGAAAATAAAGTTGTACCAACTTTTTACTACTACAAAAAATGCTACAAAGCCAGCTTTATTCATGGCCTTATCCAATATATAAACAGTAATAGCTAACATTTGAGTGCTTACTATGCCAAGCACAAGCTTCCACACAAAATATACAATATCAGCATACGCATTTGTAGTATTTGTATCATTTGCACTTCTGTAACCTGTCCATATTCATTTTCTCTGAAAATCAATTGCTTTAAAACTGGCCAAAATACACTTAAAAAAATTTTTTTAAGAGATGGAGGGATCTCATTTTGTTGCCCAGGCTGGTCTTGAACTACTGGGCTCAAGCCATCCTCCCATCTCAGCCTCCCAAGTAGCTGGGATTACAAGTATGTGCCACTGTGCCCAGCTTCAGAATACAATTTTAATCTAAGAAATTTCTGGCAAAATATCCCCATGAGTTCTGTGAAAATGCCTGGCATGTAAGCACTCATACATTCATACATTCTACAAATATTATTTGAGAACCTAAAATGTACTGGACCTTGAGTGAATAAAACAGACATGATCTCCGTACTCACGGGCATTTAGCCTAGCAAACATTTAAAGTGAATTAAGTGGAAAGCAAAAAGAAAAGTGAAGAGGGGAACACATCAGCTACAGAAAGACTAGTACCATTTGTGTCAACACAACTGACACAATTATAACTGACTCTTAAGCCAGTCTTCCACATCCTATAGATTTAAACTACTGCTTTATTCTTAAAATACTGCTTTACTTTTATCATTTTCATGCTCAAGAACCCACAAATTTTCTTAGTATTTACCACGTATACACTTCACCCATTTTCTACATTAGCTATTTCAAACCTTCACACTCAAGGCTTCCCCTATGCATCCCACTATTTCCCTTAGAGTTCCCCAGAGGACCACCTAAGTACATTTCAATGACTACTTTACAAATAAGAGGGGAAAGTCACCCTTTCAAGTTTTCACTGCCTGCATCCATACTCGTTACTTCCTTCACTTTAAGTGAAGATATTTTCTCGTCTCTCTAAAATGAGCCTCTCTGGGTATGTTCTTAAGATTAATCCTGTCACCTCACAACTATCTAAGAATCTATTATTATTATGAATACAGACAGTATTAATAATTAGTAATTAATAATTACTAATACTGACAGTATTATTACTAATACAGACAGTAATCTATTACTGTCTGTATCTTCAACTTCTCTACTGATTCTTTTTTTCTCAAGCAAGACATGCTCACCTCTTATTCATCTTGAAAAAAACTCTCTCTTGCTACAATGCACTGTTTTTATCCTAAAATCTCCTCTCATCCCTTCCCCTTTAAAACCAAACAATGTGTACCTCATCATTCAAAATTTCTCACTCTTGGCCGGGCGTGGTGCCTCAGGCCTGCAATCCCAGCACTTTGGGAGGCTGAGACAGGTGGATCACCTGAGGTCAGGAGTTCAAAACCAGCCTGGCCAAGATGATGAAATCCCCTCTCTACTAAAAATACAAAAATAAGCTGGGCATGGCGGCACATGCCTGTAACCCCAGCTGCTTTGGAGGCTGAGGCACGAGAATTGCTTGAACTCGGGAAGTGGAAGTTGCAGTGAGCCAAGATCACACCACTGCACTCCAGCCTGGGTGACAGAGCAAGACTCCATCTCAGTCAATCAATTTCTCACTCTCCATTCATCCTTAACTCACTACAACCTGGTTTCTGCCTCCATACCATTCCTTTGAAACTGCTTTCACCAGTAATAATTTCTCGAGTCTCCAAAAGGGATTCAGTCCTAGTACTGCTTGACCTCTCAGTTTTATCTATCATCACTCCTTGCTTCAAGAATTCTCCTCCACTGGTTCATTAAAAAAAAAAAAAAAAAAAAAAAAAAAAAAGCCACTATCACCTGCTTCCCAACTGCTCCTTTTCAATTTCAATTGTTTATAGGTTGCTCTTCTTCTGTGTCCTTATGAAGATCCTTAGCCTTAGAGACATTAGTTAACTTGCTAAAGGTCACATAACCAGTAGACAGCAAGCTAGAAACACAAATGACAAAACAAAAAGTCATACTTTACATATCCCTATTCTAGCACCTATTATATTTAATGCATTTCAGTTTCAGTATCTGCTCCCTGACTCTCCTACAGCAGATCATAAGCTTCTTAAAAGCAAAAGAGCTTTTACCATCATTCAGTTCTTTAAAAACAGGGCGTTTTTGTTTGTTTTTTGGTTTTCTTTTTGAGACAGTCTGGTTCTGTTGCCCAGCCTAGAGTGCAGTGGGCGCGATCTTGACTCACTGCAACCTCTGCCTCCCGGGTTCAAGCGATTCTCCTGCCTCAGCCTCCCCAGTATCTGGGATTACAGGCATCCGCCACCACACCCAGCTAATTTTTGTATTTTAGTAGAGACAGGGTTTCACCATGTTGGCCAGGTAGGTCTCCAACTCCTGACCTCACGTGATCCACCAGCCTCAGCCTCCCAAAGTGCTGGGATTACAGGCGTGAGCCACGGCGCCCAGTCAGAAAAACAGAGAGTTTTTTGTTCTGGTTTTGTTTTTTTGAGACAGAGGCAGGTGATCTTCCTGCCTTGGCCGCCCAAAGTGCTAGGATTACAGGTGTGAGCTACTGCACCTGGCCAACAGAGAGCTTTTTAATGCTAAATCTTATTTTCCTAAAACACACAGACATACACACACACACACAACTTCAGTTAGAAACAATATACACTCTTTCTATTCTTACTAGCCCATCAGCCCACTTTAAAGAAATCAGTCAGGCCCGGTGCAGTGGCTCATGCCAGTACTCCCAGCACTTTGGGAGGCCAAGGTGGGCTGATTGAGCTCAGGAGTTTGAGACTAGCCTGGGCAACAGAGCGAAACCCAACTCTACAAAAAAGGACAAAAATTAGCTGGGCATGATGGTGTGCACATGTAGTCCCAGCTACTTAGGAGGCCAAGGTGGGGAGGATGGCTTGAACCTGGGAGGTGGAGGCTGCAGTGAGTTGAGATCACACCACTGCACTCCAGCCTGGGTGACAGACCCAGACTGTCTCAAACACAAAACAAAACAAAATAAGGAAATCAGTCTAAGGAATAGTAAGAGACAAAAGATATGTTTATTAAAGTTATACTAGTATTCATAAGATTTAACATATTTCAATCTTAAAAGCACTTACTTTGTTAAATGAGTTTGAATCTCGTGAAGTAATACCTAGGTTACCTTTACTTTACAAGACAAGTGAGAGTGCAAAACAAAAAGAAATTTGGATTCACTTGTTCATTTGTTATCAGACTAAGGAATTGTCAATCTCATGGAATTTACACACATGGAAGTCATAATGATTTCTTTTGTAGCTGTGAGATTTTGTGATCATTTTAGCAATATTTGTGTGTCTGTGTGTGTGTGAAATGAAACACACACAAATGAAATTACTGGCTCATGTATTGAATGAAGCATTACGGTTCCAGGAGTTTTCATTGTAAATATCAACAAATAAACCTATGTTCTTCCCATCCAATACAAAAAAAAAAGTTCTCTTGTTTTCTGGTGTATAGTTTTCTTCTGATACCTCAGATTTGTATAAGGCTTCTGCTCAGTATACGTGCTGCCAAAGTGAGCAAAAGGCTTCTGCTCAGAAGTGAGCCACTTCACTAGCAAACTATTCAGGAAGCCAACAAATGTTAGTGTTCTCAATGCAACTGTTCCACTCACTGGAATTGTGATCCTCCTCCTGTTCCACAGCATATAATAGTAAACAACATAATATTCAGAAATAGCCTGTACCTTATTCAGCACACACCCACCCATTATTTTCTATAATATATGGAATTTTTATTTATTTATTTATTTATTTATTTATTTATTTATTTATTTATGTTTGAGACAGAGTCTTGCTCTGTTGCCCAGGCTGGAATGCAGTAGCACAATTTCAGCTCACTGCAACCTCTGCCTCCCAAGTTCAAGCGATTCCCCTGCCTCTGCCTCCCAAGTAGTTGGGATTACAAGCACCTGCCACTACAACTGGCTAATTTTTTTATTTTTAGTAGCGACAGGGTTTCACCATGTTGGCCAGGCTGGTCTTGAACTCCTGACCTCAGATGATCCACCCACCTCCGCCTCCCAAAGTGCTGGGATTACAGGCGTGAGCCCCCACGCCCAGCCTGAAAATTTATTAAGATAACCATCTCCTCACTTGTAACAGTCTGACCAAAATTTAAATTAGAAGGACTTGCCCTTCAGAAGTTTATATGCCTTTTCGACAGGGCGTGGTAGCTCACACCTGTAATCCCAGCACTTTGAGAGGCAGAGGCAGGCAGATCTCTTGAGGTCAGGAGTTCGAGACCAGCCTGGGCAACTTGGTGAGACACCTGCCCCCACCACCACCTCCATTTCTACAAAAAATTAGCCGGACATGGTGGGGCAGGTTGTGATGGTGCCTCTGTACTCCAGCCTGGGCGATGAATTGAAATCCTGTCTCAAAATTTTTTTTAATCATTAAAAAAAAAAAAAAAGAAGTTTACATACCTTTTCATTTGTTCTTTCCTTCTCCATAGAAATACAGGTCTTTTTACGAGCAGGTTAAACATGGAAAGTGCTCTGTACTTGTTTTAGTCAATCCAAAATACCTAACGTTAAGTGTTCTTCATTGTTAAAATTTACTATTCAGAATGCACCACAGCCAGGCCAGGTGCAGTGGCTCACCTGTGCCTGTAATCCCAGCACTATGGGAGGCCAAGGAGGGCAGATCATCTGAGGTCAGGAGTTTGAGACCAGCCTAGGCAAAATGGCGAAATCTCATCTCTACAAAAGCTTAGCTGGGCATGATGGCACGTGCCTGTAGTCCCAGCTACTGGAGAGCCTGAGGTGGAAGGATCACCTAAGCCTGGGAGGTCGAGGCTGCAGTGAGCCGTGATGGCGCCACTGCACTCCAGCCTGGGTTACAAAGTGAGACCCTGCCTCAAAAATAAAAATAAAAATAAAAAATAAATAGAATACACCACTACTAATCCTGCCCAACCAGAATTTCCACTCAACACCAATAAAAATTTGAATATCAATTCCCAACCTGAAGTCCCTTAACCCTTCCAGAAGGGAAGGGAATCAATACTTGGTAAGCATTTAATACAGATCCCTAAAAAAGCATAATAGGTGTCCTGGAAATATGCCCAACATTTCAAAAAAGCGGAATACAAATTACACATATGCTGAAGTAAAATTCCGCAGGCTATTAATAAATGCAGACTGGTAAATCTTTCAAGGTATTATTTCACCACAATATTCCTCTAAATGGGTCCTCCTCTGGTACTTATTCAAAAGATATATAATATGATGCTATGTACTGTAATGGATCGTGCACAAAATCCTACTGAAATACAATGGAAGGAGGAATTAGTTCTGCCTAGAAAGACTTCACAGAGGGAATATCTCAGCAGAATCTGGAAGGATAATTCAGCTCTGTGGGCTGCAGATGCGTCTAAGTGTGTTTCTGGTTACAAAAATTCATAGAATTGAATTTGGATAAGTCTTTAAAGATCACCTAGTCCTGAGGCTTTCCACCTTTATTTTAAACTAATAACATCTTTTCTTCAAAAGTCTAATTGAAACTCCAGTATATAAAACAGGTAATATGGAAGAACTGCTCTTCTGAAAGGGGAGGGTTATTGAAAAACACTGCTGTTCTAACCAACCCCCTTCGTTTTTAAAATAAGCTGAGACACTAAGAAGGACAATGACTTGGCAAAAGCCATATAAAGACAAAAACGCAACAATTTTCAAAGAACAACTCTTAAGCATTATCTACTCTTTGAAGTCTTTCCTTTCTCCCCCGGTGGAATTTATCAATGTATTTCATTCCTCAATATATCTAGGACATACCTCCGTTATGGCTTCTATAAAACTTTAGTGCCCTAGTTTTATTTATTTGTTTTTTGAGACAGTGTCTCACTGCCACCCAGGCTGGAGTGCAGTGGCACGATCATGGCTCACTGCAGCCTCAACCTCTCAGGCTAAGGAATCTTCCTACCTCAGCTTCCCAAGTAGCTGGGACTACAGGCACACACCACCACACCCGGCTAATTTTTTGTGTGTAGAGACAGGGGCTCACTATGTTGCCCAGGCTGGTCTCGAAATCCTGCGCTCAAGTGATCCTCCCAACACGGCCCCCCAAGTGCTGGGATTACAGGCATGAGCCACCACAACAGTCTCTAATTTTTTTTTTTATGTGTCTGTGTCCCTCTCTACTATTGTAAGCTCCCTAAAGGCAGGTACTGGCTCAATCATTTTTGTATATTCACCCAGACTAACATGTTATTTATTACATTATATTTGACCAAGTTTCAGAAAATATTTAATCTAGCTTGGTGCCTAGCACACAGTAGGACTTAACAGGTATTTATCAAACAAATTTACCAAAAATGAGGTCAGTAAATGAAATAACACATCTAAAACAGTTACAACAGTAGCTGAAACACAGTGTAGATTCCATAAATATTAGTTATTATATAACTTTATATAGGCTGGAAAAAACCCTGAAACCATTATTGAACATTTGATCTGGAAGGCAAAAACTAAGCACCTTTTATCAAGTTTTCAACTTGCTCATTTATACATTGCCAATACAGGTTGAGTATCCTTTATCCGAAACACTCGGGACCAAAAGTATTTCAAATTTTGGATTTTTTTGGATTTTGGAATATTTGCGTATACGTAATGAGGTATCTTGGGGATGGGATGCAGTATAAATACAAAATTCATTTATGGTTCATATATACCTTATACACATAACCTGAAGATAATTTTATACAATATTTTTAATAATTTTGTGCATGAAACAAAGTTTGTGTACATGAACCAACCATCAAAAAGCAAAGGTGCCAAGTGTGGAATTTTTCACTTGTGGTGTCATGTTGGCGCTCATAAAGTTTTGGATTTCCGAGCATTCTGGATTTTTGGATTAGGGATACTCAACCTGTACAATCACATCTTTGATGAGAAAGAAAATTTAGCTCATTTATAAAGATCTCTTGACTCTGGCAGCCTGGAGAAAATATATCTAGACTTGAAGTGAAAGGAGAAATTAGGTTGGTCCTGAACTTGGAGCTAAGTGTCATCTGTCAAAGAGGTGTGGTGGGAAGTGGAAAAGATTATCTATAAGGTTGTTTCTTGCGCTAACGCTGTAGGGGCTTATAACAAATTTAGAACTAGAATCCTTCAGCTTTCAATTCACATAAGCAAGAAATTTGTAAAAAATCGGCAAACGGGCTGGGCGGGGTGGCTCACGCCTGTAACCCCAGCACTTTGGGAGAAGAGGCGGGCGGATCACAAGGTCAAGAGATCGAAACCATCCTGGCCAATATGGTGAAACCCCGTCTCCACTAAAAATACAAAAAATTAGCCGGGCGTGGTGGCGAGCACCTGTAGTCCCAGCTACTGGGGAGGCTGAGGCAGGAGAATCGCTTGAACCCGGGAGGCGGAGGTTGCAGTGAGCCAAGATCGCGCCACTGCACTCCAGCCTGGTGACACAGCAAGACTCCGTTTCAAAAAAAAAAAGGAAATCAGCAAATGATACACTGAATTTGGTGTCAGATAGTAGGGGTCATCATACCAGCTCTGTTATTATTTAGCTGTGTGATTCAGAGCAAGAAGCAAACTCTTTGGGTCTCAATTTCCTCAACCTGTTCAACGAAGTTATTGGACAATATGAACTCTATTTAAAATACATCAAAGTCCAGGCCTGGCACAGTGGCTCACGCCTGTAATCCCAGTACTTTGGGAGGCCAAGACAGGAGGATTCCCTAAGCCCAGGAGTTTGAAATTAGCCTGGGCAACATCGCAAGACCCAGACTCTTATTAAAACACACACGCACACACACACACGCAAGATACATCATAGTCATGATACTCCATGAAATAAGCTACCTCTGAAGGAAAATACTCAGGTGGGGACTGAATCACCAATTATTAGAAATGTTTAGAGAACTCCTGTACAAACCAAAAGTAGAGAATTTCAAGGTTAGAAGAAACCTTACAACTCACCCAACTGAGACCTAAGCCCTCTCTAATATATTCCTGGACGAGGTCGCCCAACCGTTTTGGTAATGGAGAACTACCCATGGAAACAAGTCACTTCAACTTAGGCCAAATATGATGCAAAGTTACTTTACTGAAGCCACACCATCCTCTGGTAACTTTCGTCCACTAGTTTCACCTATCACTTAAGTGTCCCTCAAATATTTTGGATAGTGATAATATGCCCCTTAAATATCCTGTCCTCCAAATTAAAGTATCCAACTCCGTCAACCTTTCCTGGTAACATAATACCAAGACTCCCTCACCATTCAGGCTGCGTTCCTCAAAGAAACCTTCATTCTTGCTTTAGCGACTGTATTCAAATGACTCGAAAAGCTTCTCCCATTCTGACGTCTTACAACCCAAGATCTCCCACTTGCCCAGCTGACACCACAGGGAAGCCTCTAATCACGCTTGCCACCTCCACCCAAGGAAGCATTTGGGGTGGAAAGTGTGCCCTGTTGCTCCATTGGGAGACATGGAGACAAGAAGTGACGGCGGCACCGACAGAGAAGCCGGCACACTGTTCGCCTCCCCATTGCAAGCCTCCTCCCTCACCGGTATTGCTTGGGGTCGCTGGGAGACTTGACGATCTCAGGGTCCCCAGCATTACTGAGAGACCCCCTCCGTCCCTCTTCCTCAGATTCATCCGCTCCTAGACGGGCAACCCGGCTGTTCTCGCCCAGATCCTGTCCATTGGGCTGCAGGTCAGGGCAGCTGCAGGTAGACTTCGCCTTGTTCCTTCCAGGCATGGCCAGAATAGGAAAGGGTCTGGCAGCAGCAGAGTCTTCGCACCGACCCCGCGTTTCGATTCCCCAGAGCGCCGCGAGCTCCCGCCCGGCCTCACACAACTTCCTCCGGGTGGCACAGACTGCAGCAACAGTGACTCTCCTCAGCATTCACCACCAAGCTGGAGCGATGGACATCCCGCTTCCCAGGACCCACCTCCTCCGCGTTCTAGAGGCGGTGGCGGCCGGCCCTGGTGCTGCCGCAGCCGCGGGGAACAGGCCTGAACCCCTCCCCCAACCCAGTCTCCCTCTCGCCGACTTCCCTCGTCCCTCCGCCCTCCCGGCCGCCGATGACGCTACTGATTTCAGCCAATCATGAGGCAAGAAAGTAGTCACGCTCACGTAAGCAACCAATCAGAACAGGAAAGGAGAGGCACCAACGTGACCCGGACTGATTCTCGGAACAGCCAGCGAACATTTCGAAACCCAAAGTGGGCGGGGCGAGGGAGAAGAAGCGGAGAGAGTGGCGCGGAGGACGACGGGAGAAGGGCCCCCGGCGCGTTTATGACGTACGAGTGTGTTTTGTGGAAACCACTGAGTAGTGCTCCGCGTGTCAAAGAAAAATATTCCCCTAATGAGAAAACTGAGAAACGAGTGCAGAGAATTAATTCCAAAGTTTTAAATTTTCCCATTCGTGTCATAGTTTGGGTACCCTACTCCTCAGACCCGGGGCGAGCCTTCGGCTGTGACTCAGCACATAAAAAACCAGAACGCCGGAAGTATTTTCCTACACCCGCCGGATGGACGCTGCTCCCGAGCGCCGCAAATACTAATTGGCTCTTCTCTACCCTACAGTCGGCCCGACAGTGGTGGGGTTTCATCCTCAAGCCCTAAGAAAGTGCTAAAAAGACCAGTCTGGATGTGCTAACTCTTCTGTGTGAAAACGTTTTTTAGCTCCTCCAGCCTCCTGTTAAATTCGGCCAATTTTTATCGAGCAGCTGCAGCGTCTGCTGCCTTCAAGTCTCCTTTCCCAGTTTTTCCCGCTAGCAGTGGTCTTTGGTTAGCAATGTAAAATGTGACGGAAATACAAACATAAATGAAAGCTAAAAAGCAGCTGAAATTAGTAAGATGCACTATACTGACACCATGGGGTAAGAGATCATAGCTCATACATACGAATGAGCGGGGAAAGACGTGAAGCAGGGAGATGTGTTGATAGTTACTGTATCTTCAAGGTTTTCGAGGCCTCTTCTGAGTTCCAAATGCAAGGAATACAACCATGAACAAAACAAAACTTGCCTTAGGCTGGGCGTGATAGTGATAGCTCACACCTATAATCCTAGTACTTTGGGAGGCCGAAGCGGGAGGATTGCTTTGAGCCTGGGAATTTGGTACCAGCCTGGACAACATGGTGAGACCCCCGTCTGTACAAAATTCTTTTTTAAAATTAGCCAGGCTTGGTGATGCGTGCATGTGGTCCCAGCTACTCAGGAGGCTGAGGCAGGAGGAACGCTTGAGTCCAGGAGGTCGAGGCTGCAGTGAGCCGTGATTGCAACACTGCACTCCAGCCTGGTTGACACAGTGAGACCCTGTCTAAACAACGACAACAAAAATTTAAAGCCTTGCCTTGGGGGAGCTTGCATCCTAATGGGAAGGAACTGTAAAATATGTAAACTAAAGTAAATCAGGCTTTTAAATAATTCAAGTTAGCTTTCTTCAGAAGTCTTATTGAGGACTGCCACCTGGGAGAGTCAGAGAGTTTTTTTTTTAGACTGCTCCAAAGCAGTGTTTCAGCCCGCAGCTTCTATACAGGTGGTGGCCGCTCTGCATGTGCTTGGAAGTTAAATCAAATGTGCTCAGAAAGGCTGGGCCTGTAATCCCAGTGATTAAGGAGGCTGAGGCAGAAGGATTGCTTGAGGCCAGGCATTTACAACCAGCCTGTGTAACATATCAAGACTCTGTCTCCACACACACATAAAAAAGCAAGGCGTGGTAGAACATCCCTGTAGTCCTAGCTACAGGAGAGGCAGAGTTAAAAGGATTGCTGGGACTCCTGAGTTTGAGGTTACAGTGAACTATGATTGTGCCTCTGCACTCTAGCCTGGTGACAGAGCAAGACCTTGTCTCTAATAAAAAAGAAAAAATGTACTCAGGAGTTACACTAGAGCAAAATCTCATGAAGGTTTAGGTGGAAGAGTACACATGTTTATAGATTATGGAGGCATAGTCATTAATCCTGTCAGAAATGTACAGGAAGAGGCAAGGTCGAGCATCATTGGATTTATCTTTTCTAAAAATGCAGTGATTCAGGCAAGAGACATGGGAACTTGTGCTCTATCCTGCATATTTTCAGGGTATTCTGGAGGGCTGTGCGCAGTCACTGAGGCTGTGAAATTCTGCTGGCAAGAGAGTTTGTGAAATTCTGCTGGTAAACAGAATGAGCAGACATGGCTTCTTATGTTTGCTACTTTGTCTCACATATACAAAAAACAATAAATGCAATGAAGACAAATTGTATAGGATAGGAAGATAAGGAGTTAGGGAGGAAGGGTACAATGATTCAGGTAGAAAATGATGGAACCTGAACTGGAGCAGTAGATGAGGTAAATTGAAAAATACTGTTTAAAATATCCCAGTTTGTTTCCATACATCTTTTCAAGAACTTACCACTTTAAGCAACTCCACTAGACTTCTCTTCTTCAGAGCAGTGGGTTGTTGTTGGTTTTATTTGTTTGTTTGTTTAGAGATGAGTTCTCACTATGTCTATCCAGGCTGGTCTCAAACTCCTGGCCTTAAGCCATCCTCCCACCTCAGCCTCCCAAATCACTGGGATTACTATAGGCATAACTACTGCACCTAGCTCACAGCAGTGGTTTTTAATTAAATTTTTCTAACTAGATACAAAGGTGGGCTGGATCTAATGGCATGTGTCTGTAGTCCCAGCACTTTGGGAGACTGAGGAAGGTGGATCACTTGAACCCAGGAGTTTGAGACCAAACTGAATATAGAGAAAACCTGTCTCCACAAAAAATACAAAGAATTAGCTGGGTATAGTGGTGCATGCTTGTAGTCCCAGCTACTTGAAAGGCTGAGGTGGGAGGATCACCTGAGCCCAGGAGGTCAAGGCTGCAGCAAGCCATGATCATGCCACTGCACTCCAGCCTAGGTGATAGAGTGAGACCCTGTCTCCAAAAAAAAAAAAAAAAAAGAGACAAAGATTGCATCCTGAAGTGTGAGCTGCTTTAAAAAGAGGTCTCTGGCGGAGGTTGCAGTGAGCCAAGATTGCACCACGGCACTCCAGCCTGGGCGACAGAGCGAGACTCTGTCTCAAAAAAAAAAGTCTCTGTGTGGTGGCAGACACCTGTAATCCCAGCTACTCAGGAGGCTGAGCCAGAGAATTGCTTGAACCCAGGAGGTGGAGGTTGCAGTGAGCCAAAATTGTGCCACTGCACTCCAGGCTGGGCGACAGAGTAAGACTCTGTCCCCACAAAATAAATAAAAATAAAAGTCTCTGAATCTTACAGGTTACCAGACTGTAGAAATATGGTAACATGCACAGGAAAAATACCTCTGATGCTGAGCCCAATACAGTTCTAACTCCATAGCACATGTGAGGCAGTCCATTCTTCATTCAACCAACAAATTGAGCTCGTGGTATGTGCCAGAAACTGGGAATACAGTGATGAACAAGAAATTTTCCTGTTCTCTTGGAACATAAAAGAGAACTAGTGGGAGAGACAAACATTAAACAAACACACAAATTTTAAATTTATAATTGTGAGTAGTTCTGGAAAGATATAAACAAAGGGACCTAGACTGGTCAGAGTTTCTCTAAAGAAGGGAAATGGGCCAGGAATGGTGGCTAACCCCTGTAATCCCAGCACTTGGGGAGGCAGAGGCGGGCAGATCATGAGGTCAGGAGTTCGAGACCAGCCTGGCCAACATGTCAAAACCCGTCTCTGCTAAAAATCCAAAAAAAAAAAAAAAAAAAAAATTAGCTGAGCATGGTGGCATGCATCTGTAATCCCAGCTACTCGGGAGACTGAGGCAGGAGAATCACTTAAACCTGGGTGGTGGAGGTTGTAGTGAGCCAAGATCGTGCCACTGCACTCCAGCCTGGGTAACAGCGAGACTCCAACTCAAAAAAAAAAAAAGGTAAATAAGGGAAATGTAAATTAACATTTGAAAAATGTATAGGAATTGGGTGTAGGAATATACATACTTGTTCAAAAGCCCTGAGAAAGCAAGTCAGTATGGCTAAATTGTAGTGTACTAATCTGGAAGCAAAGGGGAAAGCAGTCCGTGGTCGAGATCATAAAGAACCTTCCTATGAGTAAGAGGTCATTGCCTTATCTATTTTATATATCATTGGATCCCCAGCTTCTAGAATAGTTTCTGGCACACTGTGGTACTCAGTAAATAATGGTTGAACAAAAGAAAAGAGAGAGTATGATCACAAGTGTTTTCCAAGTAGACCGCTCTGGCTCATGTATGAAAAACATTGGATGGTGGGGGCAAAGGCAAGACTGGAAGAAAAGAGAGCAGTTAGAAGGCTGCTGAAGTCATATAGGCAATAGAAGATGATACCTTGGATTTGAGGAGTGATAGTGGCGATGGAAAGATGTAGATAAATAATATGTATTCAGGAAGTAGAATTGCCCAGTATTAGGTAGTGATTGATTTGATGTGGGAGAATAAAGAGAGAAGTGTTAGGTATAACTCCCTGCTGTCTGGTTTTCTGGATGGATCGATGATGGTGCCAGTAACTCAGTAAACAGGAAATTCTGAAAAAGGAGTTTTGGTAGGAGAAGAGTATACTAGCTCAGTTTTGGACATGTTAAGTTTGAGTTATTTGTGAGAGACACAGATGAAGATCAGGTCTGAAGCTCAGAAAAGAGACCTAAATTGGAGATAAAAATTTGAGGTTTATTGGTTTCTAGGTGGTAACCAAAGCTTATTGAATGAGATCACCTACACTGAGATTGTGAAGTGAAAAAAGGGCCCAAGGAGAAAGCTTTGAGGAACTTACAGAAGAGGAAGAACTCACAAAAGAGACTGAGAAGGAACTACCAGGGTGTTAAGAAGAAAACCTGTGTGATCACAGGAAAAATACCTCTGATGCTGAGCCCAATACAATTCTGACCCACAGCACATGTTAGAAGTGTCAGATCAGAGGCCCGGTGCAGCGGCTTATGCCTGTAATCCCAGCACTTTGGGAGGCCAAGGCAGGAGGATCAGTTGAGGCCAGGAGTTCAAGACCAGCCTGGTCAACAGGGCGAAACCCTGTCTCTACTAAAAATACAAAAATTAGCCAGCTGTGGTGGTACACCCCTGTAATCCCAGCTACTTGGGTGGCGCATGCCTGTAATCCCAGCTACTTAGGAGGCTGAGGCAGGAGAATTGAACTCTGTCTCAAAGAAAAAGAAGTGTCAGATTAGATATATAAAATATAAGAATTGGCAAGGGATCTCTGAATTATTTTAGTCTGGTGTCTTCAGATATAAAGATAAATACCTATTCAGGTGAAACTCAAAAATGACCAATAGGCATAGCCAGGACTTCCAAACCAGAAGTATTGTTTTCCTATTTAAAATAATTTGGAAAGTTACCATCTCTCATTTGTATTATAAAGAGTATTCCTCAGAGGAAACAGGTAAATTAAGCTATTACTTTGTTGTTGTTGTTGGTGTTGTTGTTTTCCTTTTTGGAAACAGGGTCTAGCTCTCTCACCCAAGCTGGAATTCAGTGGCATGATCTCGGCTGACTGCAATCTCTGCCTCCCAGGCTCAAGTGATTCTCCTGCCTCAGCCTCCCGAGTAGCTGGAACCACAATCACAGGCATGCACCACCATGCCCAGCTAATTTTTTGTACTTTTTGTAGAGGCAGGGTCCATGTTGTGCGGGCTGGTCTTCAACTCCAGGGCTCAAGTGATTTGCCCGCCTCGGCCTCCCAAAATCCTGGGATTACAGGCATGAGCCACTGTGCCCAGCGAAAGTATAACTATTATATAGGAAACTGAGGGCCGAGGTTGCAATGAACTGAGACTGTGCTACTTCACTCCAGCCTGGGCAACAGAGTGAGACTCTGTCTCCAAAAAAAAGGAAACTGAGGCATCAGGAAGTTAAAAGGAACTTGATATCCCCAATAAAGTTAAAGAGTACAAGACTGTAATTTTTAACCTCATTTTCCGAGACCTTCTCTTTTCTTTTTTGAGACAGGGTCTTTCTGTGTCACCCAGCCTAGAGTGCAGTGGTGTATTCATAGCTCACTGCAATCTCAACCTCCTAGACTCAAGCAATCTTCCCACCTCAGCCTCCCAAGTAATTGGGACTACAGGCATGCACCACCATGCCTAGCTAATTTATTTTTAAGAGATGGGGGTCTCACTATGTTGCCCAGGGTGGTCTTGAATTCCTGGCCTCAAGCAATCCTCCCACCTTGGCTTCTCAAAGTGCTGGGATTACAGGTGTGCACCACTGGGCTCAACCCAGACTTTTTCTTTAAGTTTATTTTTTAATTTCTTAATATTTCTTCGGTTTCAGACCCTGACAGACTTTCTGAGAGTACAGTATTTAAAGGCTTTTTTACATTTCCACTTCGTCTTCAGCCACCTTAAACTCCTTTCCATTTTTACCTCAAGGATTTCCCTCCCATCAGATTTGGTGAGCCTTGTCTCCCTATTATTCTGGTGAAAGTTTAGAAATCATGAAAATTAAAAACAGCTCATTTCTGTGTTCGATCCCTGCCTCTGAAAGTTAATTTAGTCAATGCAAAAGGGACAGATCTGAGCCTTAATTTTTTTTTTTTTTTTTGTAGATGGAGTCTCACTCTGTTGCCCAGGCTGGAGTGCAATGGCGTGATCTCGGCTTACTGCAACCTCTGCCTCCCAGGTTCAAGCAATTCTCCTGCCTCAGCCTCCCAAGTAGCTGGGATTACAGACATGCACCACCACACCTGGCTAATTTTTTGTATTTTTAGTAGAGACGGGGTTTTGCCATGTTGGCCAGGCTGGTCTTGAACTGCTGACCTCAGGTTATCCACCCGCCTCAGCCTCCCAAAGTTCTAGGGTTACAGGCGTGAGTCACCGTGCCCAGCCTCAGCCTTACTTTTAAAAATTAAAAGATAAATTATTCTTAATTATCCATCTTTATAATTGAAAGTCAGGATAAGGCAGAAATGTGGAATGTTGACTCTACATTGAGTAGATTGGAATAGTATGAGCCCATTAACATCTCAAACCCCAAATTATCTCCCCCTTGCTTTAATGTCTAAAATTCCTTCATTAGTGATTTATGTCCCTTTTTATAACTCTTGTTAAATGCCAATAACACCCTCGAAAGGATTGAAAAACTAACCCATTTTGTGAATGGATATGTTTTATTTCCTCTAGTTCGAAGCACACTCTAGGCAACTTCAGATCACTATGAATCTGGGGTAGGTGAAGAGATTGCTAAATCTAGGGGGAAAGACACAGAAAGAAGAGGTAGGTAACAAGAGAAATATTACCCACTTCAACATTTTGTCCAGGGCCCATGCGCTAAGAAATTATACCTTTGGAGCTCTGGTTATTAATTGTCCCACCCACTGATTGCTATCCACATTTGGCAGCTTTGTATCTAGGTCAAGAAGTAGGCATGTTCTTATGGAGTCTTCTCCCCCGAAACTGAATGTGTGCACAATATACCAAGCAATTTGTGTGACCATAGAAATAGTTTTCTCAGCCAGGCACGGTGGCTCATGCCTGTAATCCCAGCACTTTGGGAAGCCAAGGCAGATGGATCACCTGAGGTCAGGAGTTCGAGACCAGCCTGGCCAACATGGTGAAACCCCATCTCTACTAAAAATAGCAAAATTAGCCGGGCATGGTGGCTCATGCCTGTAATGCCAGCTACTTGGGAGGCTGCGGCAGAAAAATCACTTTAACGCAGGAAGCAAAAGTTGCAGTGAGCTGAGATTGCACCACTGCATTCCAGCCTGGGCAACACAGTGAGACTCTGTCTCAAAAAAAAAAAAAAAAGTTTTCTCCTATACTATAAACATAGTTCTAGAAGAATTTGATGTTCAAAACTTCGTGATAAATTAGGAGTGACTCTAAAAAATGTGACAAATGAAATATTATTTTATCACAAATCAAGCTAAGTTGCTCCTCATCTCTGGACTAAAGATACATATTTTTTGAAACTCTGCCTGGAAAGAAGAATGTAAAGACACAAAATAATATTTAAAAATCTAATTATATTATTCGCTTTTAAGAAACCCATCATGGCATTCCTTTGCTCTTTGAATAAAATCCAGCCTCTTGCTATCGCTTATATGGCTTGCTTATTAATTATTTCTGTCCTTCCTCTAAGTCTACCATCTCATCTACCATTCAGCTTTTTGCTCCAGTCACACTGGCTTTTTAATGTCCTTCAACACACTAGAGTAGTTCCTGCTTTAGGGCCATTACCTCTGCCTCTCTGCCTGGAGTGTTCTTACTCTAAATTTTGCATAGCTGAGTTCTTCACACCAGTCATATGTCAGAAAACATGTCACTCTTAAGAGAGGCCTTTTCTTATTCTATCTAAAATAGTACTCATGGTCAGGCACGGTGGCTCACACCTATAATCCCAGCACTTCGGGAGGCCGAGGCGGGTGGGTTGCTCAAGCCAGGAGTTTGAGAACAACCTGGGCAACATGGTGAAACCCCGTCTCTACAAAAAATACACACACACACACACACACACACACACACACACACAAATTAGCCAGGTGTGGTGGTACATGCCAGATACTTGGGAGGCTGAGGTGGGAGGGTTGCTTCAGCCCAGGAGGGTGAGGCTGCAGTGAGCCATGATCATGCCACTGTGCTCCAGTCTGGATGACAGAGCAATACCCTGTCTCAAAATAATTAATTAAAATAATACTCATCATCTGAAATTATATTATTTGTCTATTAGCTTACTGTTTAGGCCGGGCGCGGTGACTCACGCCTGTGATCCCAGCACTTTGGGAGGCGGAGGTGGGTGGATCACAAGGTCAGGAGTGCGAAACCAGCCTGGCCAAGATGGTGAAACCCTGTCTCTACTAAAAATAAAAAATTAGCCGGGCATGGTGGCAGGCGTTTGTAGTCCCAGCTACTCGGGAGGTTGAGGCAGGAGAATTCCTTGAACCTGGGAGGCGGAGGTTGCCGTGAGCCGAGATCGTGCCACTGCACTCTAGCCAGGGTGACAGAGCGAGACTCCATCTCAAAAAAAAAAAAAAAAAGCTTACTATCTATACATACCCTCTGTATGTTATAGGCCCATGAGAAAGCTGGTACCTCATTTGTCTTGTTCCCCACTACATCCCTAGAGTCAAAAATGGGGCCTGGCATGTGGTAGGTATTCAACAAATACTTGTCAAATTGATGAATGAATGATACAGGAAATTGAAGTTTCAAGATCCCTGGAGAGACAGAAGAGTGGGATTAGCCTTAAATTGTAGAGGAACACCATTATCATTTGGCCCAGAAGGAAAGATACACAGATAGGTGCAAATGCAGCAAAAATTTTACATCGTTTTAGGAAGAAAGAAGCAGAAAGAAGCAGCAGGAATTTAAAAGAGTTCCCTTCTAATAGTCCCCAGCCTCCTTTTTTGTTTTGTTTTGTTTTGTTTTGAAACATGATAGAAAGTCAGTGTTGGGACTGAAAGGATAGGTAGTAGTATAGAATGTTCTGCTTTCATGGGAACTGGTAAATGCGATATTTGTCTTTCTTTTTTTTTTTTTTTTTGCTTGTTTAAATTTCACATGTCTTGAAGCCAAGCCCAGCTGGTAGTTTCTGTTTCTTGAGTAACTGTAATACTTTGTGCCAAGACTGTTTCTTTCTTTTTTGGGGGGATGTGGGGTTGGGGGGAAGAAGTCTTGCTCGGTTGCCCAGGCTGGAGTGCAGTGGTGCAATCTCAGCTCACTGCAACCTACGTCTCCTGGGTTCAAGCAGTTCTCCTACCTCAGCCTCCTGAGTAGCTGGGATTACAGGCACCTGCCACCATGCCCAGCTAATTTTTGCATTTTTAGTAGAGACGGGGTTTCACCACGTTGGTCAGGCTGGTCTCGAACTCCTGACCTCAGGTGATCTGCCCGCCTCAGCCTCCCGAAGTGCTGGGATTACAGGCATGAGCCACCACACCTGGCCTCTAAGACTGTTACTTTCATTAACTCACTTAATCCTCACAGCAACCTAAATATGTTATTCACCAGTTTATAGATGAAGAAACTGAGGTCGAGAGAAGTTAGATAACTTGCACAAAATCAACAATAGGAAAGTTGGACTACTGAAATTGCAAACCATGAGTGTCTGATTCCAAAGATTATATTTTTTCATCTCTTACATGTTGCCTGTCACATACCTAGAATAAATAGACTTATGATGTGTTAATTTGATCATTGATATTCCCTGCTGTAGTTAACCCCAAGTCTAAGCTTTACTTTATTTAATTTTATTTTATAGAGACAGGTTTTCACATGTTGCCCAGGCTGGTCTTGCACTCCTGGGATCAAGCAATCTGCCCACCTTGGTCTCCCAAAGTGCTGGGATTATAGGGTGTGAGCTACTGTGCCCAGCCAACCCCCCAGTCTAAGCTTTAAATGTAATATGCACAGTAACAAATGTTATAACATGTACACGAAAATGACAGTTGATAACTCTCATTAAGAAAGCATCTGGCTTTCCAACAGCCTGCCTACCTTCTAAATAATTGTGTCTAAAAATCATTTACTTAGGTAGAGCTAAGCAAGCCTGGCACCTGTGTCCAGCATGTGTGGTAACAGCATGATGATATTTGTTAGAGCATGCACGGTTAAAGAGGGTGACCACATAGGCTGATAGTGCAAAGTGTCCGAATCCAAGCAGAGTGAGGAGGGGAGAGGTGAGGGCCGCAGTAACAATGGGAGATTGGTTACAAACGGGTGATTTACCAAATAAATAAATATATTGAGGATAATGGGAGATGGGATCCAGGCTTCTCACTGTAGATGTAAGGAGTTACAAATATGGAAAAGCAGAAAATTAGAATGAACTCTGTGGTGTTGGATTGGAATTGTAGGTATTTGTGTAAACTCATGATTTGCAATAGGTGGACATAGAATAAAACATAGATGTGTGTGTGTGGCCGGGCGCAGTGACTCATGCCTGTAATCCCAGCACTTTGGGAGACCAAGGTGGGTGGATAACCTGAGGTCAGGAGTTTGAGACCAGCCTGGCCAACATGGCAAAACTCCATCTCTACTAAAAATACAAAAACTAGCCTGGCGTGGTGGCACCCGCCTATAGTCTCAGCTACTTGGGAGGCTGAGGCAGGAGAATTGCTTGAACCCGGGAGGTGGAGGTTGCAGTGAGCCGAGA
The DNA here is from genome assembly GCF_000001405.40 of Homo sapiens. Lineage (NCBI taxonomy): Eukaryota > Metazoa > Chordata > Mammalia > Primates > Hominidae > Homo > Homo sapiens. The sequence continues at coordinate 51,889,809 of NC_000001.11, forward strand.
TTGCACCACTGCACTCCAGCCTGGGTGACAATGCAAGACTCTGTCTCAAAAATAATAATAAAATGTGTGTGTGTATGTGTATGTGAGTATGTATATACATACATATATTTTCTAGCTATGTTCACTAAGAGGACCTAGGAGCAGTGACACCCCAACAGCAATGAGCATACCTAACACCTCCATTTTGGTTTCCAAATGCATTTTGCACTAAAAGGCCATTTTCCAATAAAAAGAACCAAAGCTTCCTGGAGAAATGACTGATTCCAAGGCTAGGGCAGAGAAGGTACAAGATGAACCTGGAACATCTTGCTAAGCCACAAAGTAAAGAAGTATTCATAGAATAATGAGAACATATCAAAAAGACACAGAGTCCAGCTTGGAGGGACTCTCACTCCCAGGGCCAGAATGTGGACAATTTGAGCCTCAAAATAAATAACAATAGTATTAATGGGAATTAATGTGTCTAAACTGCTGAATGAATGAATGAAAGAAGAAAACTTTTTGTTACAGTATAATACCAACAATAAATGTACAAGCAATGATGGAATTAGAAAATCCCCATTTGGCAACCATAACAGTAATAAATCAACCAAGAAACATCTATGTATGCTAAACTTCTTGGTACACATCTGATGAGGAATGGAATATTTACATAGTCTCAAAGTACCTCTTCACAAAATACTTATTAATTAAGAAGGGACAAAGAATAACTTAACAGTGGAAAAACCTGGCAAACACCACTTAATCTGTAAACTAATATTATTAGTAAGGAGACAAATTGAAATTGCTATAGCCTGACAGTATGTCACGAGGAAAAACCCAGCATGCCTTCTGTGCTATTCCTGCCCAAAATGCGTAACTTGAATCTAATCAAGAAGAAACACCAGACAAATCAAATTGAGGGATATTCTATAAAATAACTCACCTATAATCTTTACAAGTAGCAAGGTCATGAAAGTCGAAGAAAGACTAAAGAATTGTTCTGATTAAAGATTAATGAGACATAACTAAATGCATCACTTTCAATGACATTATTGGGATAACTGCTTAAACTTGAATGGGTTCTGTGGATTAGATGATAGTAATACATCAATGTTGATTTCCTGATTTTGAGAATTTGTGAATGATGGAACATCATAGGGGTAACCTACTCTCGAAAGGTTCAGAGGGGAAAAAAATACTTCTTTGTACTGTTCTTGTTACTTTCCTGTAAGTTGGAGATTATTTCAAAATTAAAAGGAAAAATGTTACAGAAGGGAGACAAAAAGGGTACCATTTGAAACACTGGAACTATCAGTGTCTTAAATGAACAATGTAAATTCCTGAAATTGGGGGCAGAAAAATGGTGTTTGTGGGGGTAACAGTAGTGATTATTCTTCCTCTACCCACACTCTCCAAGATCCTACTGTGCTCCAGTCTGGTTGACCTACCTCCTCATAGAAGCCTTCTTTGACTATTACAGCCCACACTCATTCCATACCTGAACTTTGACTATTACAGCCCATATCCATTCCATACCTGAACTTGGGATACATGTTGTTGGTATCATTTCCTTGGCAGTAAATCATATATAACCTGTGACTTCTCTTGTACTATTGTCTTATATAAATTTTGAACTCCTGTTTAAATCTTCTCATGAATATTGCCTCCCTAATTATATTGTAATTAATTTAGGAGTAGATGCCATATATGATCTCTTTTCCTTCCCAAAGTACCTAACACATGTTTTGCAATCACATTTCCACATCCCAAGGACTGTCAAGTAATAATTAGTCTCACTTAGCAAATGCTTTTTGCATACCAACTATGTATCAGGCACTGTAAATAATAATTTCCTACATGCATAGGATGCATTGGCTGGGCGCAGGGGCTCACGCCTGTAATCCCAGCACTTTGGGAGGCAGAGGTGGGTGGATCACGAGGTCAGGAGTTCAAGACCAGCCTGGCCAAGATGGTGAAACCCTATCTCTACTAGAAATATAAAAATTAGCCAGGCGTGGCAGAGGGCACCTGTAATCCCAGCTACTCGGGAGGCTGAGGCAGAGAATTGCTTGAACCCGGGAGGTGGAGGTTACAATAAGCCAACATCGTGCCACTGCACTCCAGCCTGGGCAACAGAGCAAGACTCCATCTCAAAAACAAAAAACAAGAAACAAAACAAAAAAAACCCCACAGCTTCCAAGTCCAGTGGTTTTTCCACTCCACTATAGGAAACAGGTAACAAGTCTGGACACAGTGATGGACTTATGTGGGTTGTATTAGTTTTCTATTACTGCTGTAACAAATTACCACAAACGTAGTGGCTTAAACAATACAAATGTATTATTTCACAGTTCTGTAGAAGTCCGACACAGTTCTCACTGGCCTAAAATTAAGGGGTCGGCAGAGTTGCATTCTTTTCTAAAGGCTCCAGGAGATTGTCTGTTTCCTTGCTATTTCCAGCTTCCAGATGTTGCTCACATTCTTTAGCGTGTGTTCTTCTTCCTCCATCTTCAAAGCAACACTGCATCTCTCTGTCTTTCTTCCATAGTGTATCTTCCTCTGACTCTCTATTTTACTTTTTTTTTTTTTTTGACAGTGTCTCGCTCTGTTGCCCAGGCTGGAGTGCAGTGGCACAATCTCGGCTCACTACAACCTCCATCTCCCGGGTTCAAGCGATTCTCCTGCCTCGGCCTCCTGAGTAGCTGGGACTACAGGTGCCCGCCACCATGCCCCGCTAATTTTTTGTATTTTTAGTAGAGACAGGTCTCACCGTGTTAGTCAGGATGGTCTCGATCTCCTGATCTCATGATCCGCCCACCTTGGCCTCCCAGAGTGCTAGGATTACAGGCGTGAGCCACTATGCCTGGCCTATTTTACTTTTAAGGATGCTTGAGATTACGTTGGGCCAACTCCAATAATCCAAGATAATCTCCCTATTCAGCTCATTAGTAACCTTAATTTCTTCAGCAATTTTCATTCTCCTTTGCCATATATCTTAACATATTCACAGATTCCAGGAATTAGGACGTAGACATCCTTGGGAGGCCATTATTCTGCCTATTGTGTATATGTTCTTTAAAATTTCACTTCCCAAAGGTCTCCTGAGTGCTTTCGCACCTTAACTCATGGTGTGACCACTCCTTCCATCTATTGAAAATCAGTCATTAGATTCCAACAGGACAATTCGTTTACTGGTATACCAACTTTAGCAATTACTTTCTGTGAAAAATAAGACGGATTTACAAAAGTTAATATCCTCTGAGTCCACTGACTCCTTATTCAACGGTAAGGAAATTGAGGCCAGAAACATTAATAACTTGCCCAAGGACACACAGCTAGCAAGTGGCAGAGCAGGAATTCAGTCTTAGGTCCTACTACAAAGCTCACAGCTTTTCCATTACACCATTTTGTCACCAACAGCTACTCCTAGGGCCTACATCAAATGCCTGTGGTTTAAACGTTAATTCATTCATTTGGGTTATCCACTTTATGGACTGCCTTGAAAATGCAAATTCAAGGAAGAGAAGAAGTCAAATTGCCTCTGTTTGCAGATAACATGATGGTATATTTACAAAACCCCGTAGTCTCAGCCCAAAAACTCCTTAAGCTGATAAGCAACTTCAGCAAAGTCTCAGGATACAAAATCAATGTGCAAAAATCACAAGTATTCCTATACACCAATAATGGACAAGCAGAGAGCCAAATCATGAGTGAACTCCCATTCACAATTGCTATAAAGAGAATAAAATACCTAGGAATACAACTTAAAAGGGATGTGAAGGACCCCTTCAAGGAGAACTACAAACCACTGCTCAAGGAAATAAGAGAGGACACAAACGGAAAAACATTTTATCCTCATGGATAGGAAGAATTGACATCGTAGAAATGAACATACTGCCCAAAGTAATTTATAGATTCAATGCTATTTCCATCAAGCACCATTGACTTTCTTCACAGAACTAGAAAAAAACTACTTTAAATTTCATATAGAACCAAAAGAGAAGCCTGTATAGCCAAGACAATCCTAAGCAAAAAGAATAAAGCTGGAGGCAACACGCTGCCTGATTTCAAACTATACTACAAGGCTACAGTAACCAAAACAGCATGGTACTGGTACCAAAACAGATATGTAGACCAATGGAACAGAACAGAGGCCTCAGAAATAATGCCACACATCTACAACTACCTGATCTTCAACGAACATGACAAAAGCAAGCAATGGGGAAAGGATTCCCTATTTAATAAATGGTACTGGGAAAACTGGCTAGCCATATGCAGAAAACAGAAACTGGGCCCCTTCCTTACACCTTATACAAAAATTAACTCAAGATGGATTAAAGACTTAAACTTAAAACCTAAAACCATAAAAACTCTAGAAGAAAACCTAGGCAATACCATTCAGGACATAGGCATGGCAAAGACTTCATGACTAAAACACCAAAAGCAATTGCAACAAAAGCCAAAATTGACAAATGGGATCTAATTAAACTAAAGAGCTTCTGCACAGCAAAAGAAACTATCATCAGGCTAAACAGGCAACCTACAGAATGGGAGAAAATTTTGCCAATCTATCCATCTGACAAAAGTCTAATATCCAGAATCTATAAGGAACTTAAACAAATTTACAAGAAAAAAACAAACAACCCCATCAAAAAGTGGGCAAAGGATATGAACAGACACTTTGCAAAAGAAGACATTTATGTGGCCAACAAACCTATGAAAATAAGCTCATCATCACTGGTCATTAGAGAAATGCAAATCAAAACCACAATGAGATACCATCTCACGCCAATTAGAATGGCGTTCATTAAAAAGTCAGGAAACAACAGATGGAGAGGATGTAGAGAAACAGGAACACTTTTACACTGTTGGTGGGAGTGTAAATTAGTCCAACCATTGTGGAAGACAGTGTGGTGATTCCTCAAGGATCTAGAACCAGAAATACCATTTGACCCAGCAATCCCATTACTGGGTATGTACCCAAGGGATTATAAATCATTCTACTATAAAGATATGTGCACACTTATGTTTATTGCAGCACTATTTACAATAGCAAAGACTTGGAACCAATCCAAATGCCCATCAAAGATAGACTAGATAAAAAAAATTGTCACATATACACCATAGAATACTATGCAGCCATAAAAAAGGATGAGTTCATGTCCTTTGCAGGGACATGCATGAAGTTGGAAGCCATCATTCTCCGCAAACTAACACAGGAACAGAAAACCAAATACTGCATGTTTTCACTCGTTTGTGGGAGTTGAACAATGAGAACACATGGACACAGGGAGGGGAACACCACACTGGGGCCTGTCAGGGGGTGGGGAGCAAGGGGAGGGACAGCATTAGGACAAATACCGAATGCATGCGGGGCTTAAAACCTAGATGATGGTTAGATAAGTGCAGCGAACCACCATGGCATATGTATCCCTATGTAACAAACCTGCACGTTCAGCACATGTATCCCAGAACTTAAAAAAAAAAAAAAAAAAGCAGTGAGAGAGAATGTTGTATTCTATCTCAGCCCAGAATAAGCTGTCCTGAGGTCATCTATTCACTCCCCTGTGCTTCTGTTGTCTTCAGTTACAATGCAATTTTGATGATCCCAAAGTCACTGTTTTAAGAGGGCAAGTTTTGCATTAAATGCTTATTTACTGTTGCTCTGGTATATTTAGAAAACAGAGCAGCCTGTTGAGAAGTAAGCATCTATTCAAATCTCCCTTCTGATTTTAAACTTCAACCATCAGGAGCCACACAACCTACTCACACCACTCTGTGTGCGGACTTCCTTGTATCTGCCCTTTCTTTTCCCTCTTCCTGGAAGGTCCTCTCAACTCTCTCCCATCCCTAACACCCAGACATTTATACCTAGAGAATACTTCCTAGTCCTTTAGCCCTGTTTCTAAACTTTCTCCTGCTCTCCAGGTACAGACAGATACCTGTCTTCTTTCCTCCAGCACTTGGTGTTACCATTTATCTCACAACTCTCAAATTTTCTGTTTCATTGGCAGAAGGACAGAAAGTGTTTGCAGGCAAAAGGAGGACATCACACAAAAAAAGAAAGAAAATGCAAATTCAAGCAGTAGGAGCATACCATCACTAAATATATTTTGAATTTAATGGATTTAATATTAATATTCATTTCCATTAATCAAAAGTGATGAACCCCAGTGGTCCCTGACCTGGAATAATTTTTAACATTACAGGGCCAGTTTAGATCATGCACCATGATGCTGGTCTGTGGGAAAATGTGGGAAAAGTAAATCAGCCTAGTCAATCTCCTATAGCATCCAAGTCCCTCTGTCTCCCCAGCTCAAGCAATCCTCCCACATCAGCCTCCCGAGTAGCTGGGACTATAGATGTGTACCACCATCCTTGGCTAATTTTTGTATTTTTTGTAATGTCGGGGTTTCAACATGTTTCTCAGACTGGTCTTGAGTTCCTGAGCTCAAGTGATCCACCCACCTCAGCCTGCCAAGGTGCTGGGATTACAGGCGTGCGCCACTGTGCCCCACCTCATCCACGTCTTAATGTTGCTTTACTGTACTCTTCTCATTGTACATGTGTCTTGTTTGGACATTATGTTCTACAGTGTCACTCCTAAAGTAGGGGGTTTTGCAAGTCTTCAGATGAATTCTTTGGTAATATCAAGGAGCTACTGACAAGAAGTTGTGAGGAGTCATCACAAGTCAGCTTGAGAAGTTGCATGTTATTCATATAGTTGAGAAAGGAGCCCTGGGTTAAACTCACTGCTTAAGAGCCATATGACCTAGGGAAAATTAGGTTATTTCTCTAAGCCTCACCTTCTTCCAAAAAGGGATATTAATTCCCACTTAATAGAGTTGTTGTGAGAATTAAATAAAATGATTGATGTACAGGTGTGTTGTAAAGGAAAAGAAAAACATGTGTGATAGATGTGCACATGAGTGTATACACAGACACTTGTGAACGAAAACGAAGGCCTAGAAGATGCTGGGTTCAAATCCTGACTCTGCCACTTGTGTGATCTTATACCAGTCCTGAATTCTTGAAACTCTCTTAATCTTAATTTTCCTCATTATAAAATACATTTGTTATAAGATTATTGTGAGGATTAAATGTCATTATGTTCAAAGAGCACTTATTACAGAGCCTGGCCCAAAGTACAAGTTCAAGAGCTGTTGGCACAGCATAAAGATCTCGGCTCTTTTTAACCTAATTCACCCGTTGTGGCCGGAATAGGTGATTTCTTGATAAACCTCAAGGTGGAGCTAGAGACACAGAAGTGGGTGTCTTCTTCAACAAGAATGTTTGGTCTTAAGGGGGAAGAAGAAGCAGACTTTCCATCTTGATTTTGCCAGGACACATCCTATCTCCCTTTAAACCACCACCCATGTTCCTCCATTATGAGAGCCTTTGGGGTTTTTTGTTTGTTTGTTTGTTTGTTTGTTTTGGGTTTTGTTGTCAAAAAAAGAGTCAGACAAAGGAGCATTCAATAGATGTTGTTCTGGTTTTGGTTTTGTTTTGTTTTGAGACAGGGTCTCACTTTGTCGCCCATGCTGGAGTGCAGTGGCACGACCTCAGCTCACTGCAGCCTCTACCTCTGGGATTCAAGCCATCCTTCTGCCTAAGCCCCCCAAAGTAGCTAGGACCACAGGCATGTGCTACCACACCCAGCTAATTCTTGTATTTTTTGTAGAGACGGAGTGGGGGAAGTGGGGAGGTTCTGTGGGGGTCGGAGTTTGGGGGAGGTGGGTGGTTTCACCATGTTGGCCAGGCTCAAGCAATCTTCCCGCCTCGGCTTCTCAAAGTGCTAGGATTACAGGCATGAGCCACTGTGCCCAGCCTAGAAGTTCTTTAATATTGTGAATTCACTTCTACTTGGAGAAAATATGTTATCTGGTACATAGAAGATGACTATATAGTTTTGAAAAAACAAACCTTTATTACATTTTATTTTCTTCTCATCCTTCAGCCCACAGACCAAAAGCAGGTTTTGTCTACATTCCACTCATGTGACTGATTTCCTGTCTGTCAGAGCCCAGTCATCTTTCCAAAAGGAATACTTATCATAGCTCCCATATTTCTCATTGGGAAATATGGGAAATAGCTCCCATATTTCTCAATGTAAATAAGACTCCTAGAAGTCTATCTTAGCATCCCAAGATTCCAGGAATATAGATTAGGTTTCAGTGGTTTTCAAATGAGCCCTTTGAAGTTATATATTGATAAGCTCATTAAAAACTCAACTCATTACTTTCAGTACCGCCTTGTAGGCTAAGTACCTATCATATATAATTAGAACCTCATGAGAATAAAAAAAAATCCGCATAAAAGATGAAAATACTACCAAATATCAGCCTTAACATGCCACTACTTTCAGAACTTAGAAAATCATTGCTACTGGCCGGGTGTGATGGCTCATGCCTGTAATCCCAGCTACTCAGGAGGCTGAGGCAGGAGAATCACTTGAACCTGGGAGGCGGAGGTTGCAATGAGCAGAGATTGCACCACTGCACTCCAGCCTGGTGACAAGAGCGAGAATCCATCTAAAAAAAAAAAAGCATTGCCACAGAAACAGAGCTTAGATTCCCCCAAAATCTAGCTGGGTAAGAGAAACCCCTTCTATGTATAAATAAAGGATGAGTAAGAATTAGTTAAGTGAAGAAGAATGAAAGGGGAGAAGGATGATTCCAGGCAGAGTTCCAGGACATGAGAAAGGTCAAAGAAAGGAATGCTCTTGTAGGTTTGAAAGTAATTGCATATGGCTCAACCGGAAAGGTTGAGAGGAAAATGGCGAGAGTTAAAACTGGAGGGGTGAACTGGAGATAATTATTAAGCCCTGCATTTTATGTTAAGGAGTATAGACTTTATCCTGAGAGAGGGGGAGCTACCAACATGCATCAGATGAGGCAGAACAATATCATTTCCTGCTTTAGAAAGATCATTCATGACTGCAAGACAAAGAACGGAGGAGGGCAAGGCTAGGGGGAAGGTGTGCTAGATATTTTCTGTTTGCATCTCCAGATACAGTAAGTCTTCAATGTCATCGATAGATTCTTGGAAACCGTGACTAAGGGAAACAATATATAAAGAAATCAATTTAGCTGTAGGCTAATTGATATAAATAAGTTCCTATGGCATATTTCTGGTCACGAAACATCAAACATCTAAATAAAGACCCAAAACACTTCTAATATTAAACCTTGAAATATAATAAATGTGAGCTATACATACATTTAAGAAAGATTAATAAAAACAAGTATAAGATAATTATTTTCCCAATTATTCCAGGTCAGTGTTACAGGTCGCCAGAGCCTATCCCAGAAGCAGAGCACAAAGCGGGAACCAGTCCTGGACAGGACGACATTCCCTCACAGGGCACACTCTCCCACACGCCACACTCACTCAGACTGGGACCATTTAGACACACCAGTTCACCTAATGTGCACATTTTTGGGATGTGGGAGGAAATTGGAGTACCCAGAGAAAACCCACGCAGTCATGAGGAGAATGTGCAGACTTCACACACGGTGGCCTCTGCCAGGAATCTATTTTTTTCATCAACGTTATAATGAAACGTCGTTGAACATAATGACATTATTCGAAGACCTGCTGTACTCCCTCTACTTACCTGCTGCATATCCCAGAAGTTTGACCTATGTGGGCTCCTGCTGGACTCCTTTGCCCTCTGGCTTTTGGTTGAGTCCGGCATTGGGAGATAGCAGTAGGAGATCAGAGGTCATGGGGAAAGACAGGTCCAATAATTTATCCCCCACCTCCCTCCCTAGCGAGTCTTTGTGTGAGGACATTTCTCTCCACCAAAGGTCACTGCTCTTAGCAGACAGCATCTGCCACACAACTGCCCTCTTCAGATTCTGGTAATCAAATCACTCCCCCCACATCCCTTGTTACTACCTTTGGGTAGTGATGATTAGCTAGCTGTTGCTAGCTAGCACTGGGGAAATTTTGTATCCCTTTTTGGTCTCTCTAAACCCTGCACTCATTTTGTAAATGATTCCTTTATTAAGCACTCCTCAAATTATCTAGTTTGAGTGTGCCATCTGATTCCTGCAGGACTCTGAAACAGAAAGAAACCAAGAATAGTATGGTAGCTAGCATTTATTGCCTCCCAGGCATTCTTCTAAGCAGTTTATATATATTAACTCATTTAATTCTCACAGCAACCCTAAGAAGTATCCCTCCTTTACAGATGTGGAATCTGAGATATAGAGAGATTAAGGCGATTAAGTAATTTTCCCAAAAATGCACAGCTAGTGAGCCAGAATTCAAATCTACATAGTCTGTTTCCAGAACCTGTGTTCTTAACTACTAGGCTCTTCTGGTGAGGTAAGTTGATGGTGTAAATTGCAGCAATAGGCTGGGCACGGTGGCTCATACCTATAATCCCAGCACTTTGGGAGGCCGAGGCAGGCGGATCACAAGGTCAGAAGATGGAGACCATCCTGGCTAATACGGTGAAACCCCGTCTCTACTAAAAATGCAAAAAATTAGCTGTGCGTTGTAGCAGACACCTGTAGTCCCAGCTACTCGGGAGGCTGAGGCAGGAGAATGGTGTGAACCTGGGAGGCGGAGCTTGCAGTGAGCTGTGCCACTGCACTCCGGCCTGGGCAACTGAGCGAGACTCCGTCTCAAAAAAAAAAAAAAAAAATTGCAGCAATATCAATGGAATGGGGAAAAATGAAGAAATTTCAGAGAGATTGTTGCTAATCCCAGGAGGATCAATTGAGGGCAAGAAGCAATGAGATGCATTGGTTATGAATACAGATTTTTTTTTTTTTTTGAAACTGAGTCTTGCTCTGTTGCCCAGGCTGGAGTGCAATGGCACGATCTTGGCTCACTGCAACCTCCGCCTCCTGGGTTCAAGTGATTCTCCTGCCTCAGCCTCCCCAGTAGCTGAGATTACAGGCACTTGCCACCACGCTCGGCTACTTTTGTATTTTTTTAGTAGAGACAGGGTTTCACCACGTTGGTCAGGCTGTTCTCAAACTCCTGTCATCAGGTGATCCACCTGCCTTGGCCTCCCAAAGTGCTGGGATGGCAGGCATGAGCCACCGTGCCAGGTTTTTTGTTGTTTTTTTTTTTTGAGATGAAGTCCTGCTCTTGTCACCCGGGCTGGATGAGGCCTCAGCCTCCCAAGTAGCTGGGATTACAGGCGCCCACCACCACGCCTGGCTAATTTTTTTTTTTTTTTTTTTAGTAGAGACGGGGTTTCACCATGTTGGCCAAGCTGGTCTCGAACTCCTGACCTCAGGTGATCCACCTGCCTCAGCCTCCCAAATAAAGTGCTGGGATTATAGACGTGAGCCACCACACTTGGTTCTTAATAAATCTTTATTAATAAATCATCCCAGAGAAACAGGGGGGCGCCTGTTGGAATTTAGAAATATTAGCTCTAAAGTGCCATCCTCTGTGGCTGAGGACAACCCTGAGATCAAACCAGCCCTTCCTTTCCTTTGGATGCCCACAGTACTTTTGTTGTTTTTATGACTGTCTTTAACTCTGATATCACATTTATTGGTTTATATGTCTCTCCCCGCCAAGCTCCACTAGTCCTGATTCATACTCTTATCCTTAGTTACTCTCATCATATGAAGCACATAGTAAGTACTCTATAATATTTGTTGAATGAATGAATGACTCAGTACTCCTAGGAAATTATTCCCTGAGTGCCACTGCACTCCAGCCTGGCAACAGAGTGAGATTCCATCTCAAAAAAAAAAAAAAAAAAAAAGGGCTTGCTGGGACCGGGCGCAGTGGCCCATGCCTGTAATCCCAGCACTTTTGGGGGCCAAGGTGGGCGGATCACCTGAGGTCAGGAGTTCGAGACCAGCCTGGCCAACATGGTGAAACCCCATCTCTACCAAAAACACAAAAATTAGCCAGGTGTGGTGGTGGGTGCCTGTAGTTCCAGCTACTTGGGAGGCTGAGGCAAGAGAATTGCTTGAACCCAGGAGGCAGAGGTTGCAGTGAGCCAAGATTGTACCACTGCACTCCAGCCTGGGCGACAGAGCAAGACTTCATCTCAAAAAAAAGGGGGGGCTTGCTTCCTGGAGAGGGTTTGCCCTTTTTGCCCCTTCTGTTTTTTCCACCTTGTGGGGATGCAGCATTCCTCCCCTCCAGAGGTTGCGGCAACAAGGTGCCATCTTGGAAGCAGAGAATAGCCCTCACCAGACACCAGTTGTGATGGAGCCTTTCCAGCCTCCAGAACGGTGAGGAAATAAATTTGTACCATTTATAAATTTCCCAGTCTTGGGTATTTTGTTATAGCAGCACAAACAAAGATAAGTGGAGTCCTTTGGAAGAGGGAACAAGTGAAGGAAGGGAAAGGGGTGACGCTGATCCTAGTAGTCAAGAGATATTTATGCAGATCTAACTTGCTGAGGTTGAGCAGTCTTATGGAACAGAAGTATTTCTAGAATCATATTTTTAATATAATGTAAAGAAATCTGCTCATGTGATGGGTAAAATATATATATATATACATATGCATATTGTACACACACACACACACACACACCTATGTTGAAAATAGCTACTTATTTTTAGCTACTGTTCTTTTAAAGAGTTGGTTTATTGAGTCATACAGAGACAACCCAAGTATTTAATGTAGACAATTAATAGCTGATTCAAAGACATCCTATATATCCACTGTGCAAAGCAGAAGCACACCATTAAGGAGGGGCTAGAGGCCTCCCTTTCTATAGGCACAATTTTTATTCAGGCAGCTCTTGCAAAAGCTGGGAGTTGGAAAAACGGCTCCCTGGCTGGGGATTGTGGCTCATGACTGTAATTTGAGAGATTGACGTGAAAGGATCACTTGAGGCCAGGAGTTCAGGACCAGCCTGGGCAATATAGCGAGATCCCATCTCTCAAAAAAATTGTTTTTGAATTAGCCAGGCATGGTGGCATGTGCCGGAGTTCTAACTACTTGGGAGGCTGAGGTGGGAGGATTGCTTAAGCCCAGTAGTTCAAGTTTACAGTAAGCTATGATTGCACCACTGCACTCCAACCTGGGTGACAGAGTGAGACCCTGACACTGCCCCTCGCCCCCAAAAAGAAAAGAAAAACAGTTCCAATAGGTGTGCAATAGTGGACTCTGTTTACTGTTACCAACTCATTCTTGAATAAAAATAGGGAAAAGAATTCTCCAACTTAAGCAGACTGCAGAGATTTTAGGAAAGGATTTAAATAAGACCTTGGACCAGGAAGGACTTTAAATTTGTGATGGATTAAACAGTTTTCTTCACACACCTCTCTAGAACTAGCTAGACTATGATTTCTCCATTCTTTCAATGTCCTTCCAAAACACCATCATTACCACTACCCTTCAGCTAAAACGTCTAAGTTATCAGCAACTTCCTTGTCTAGGTATCATCCCATCTGTTCAGAATAAGCATTCGGTTCTCTTCATTCAAAAAATGGGTATTGGATACCCTCAATGTGCCAGAACCTGTGTGGGACCCGGGGATTGAAAAGGAAACAAAACGTTCTTCCCCAACCTCCAGAAGCTCACTACTAGTGGTGGCAAAGACTCACATAACTAGCTGGGTCACCTAACACTCTGTATCTTAAAGGATCTCCCAGTAGTATCCCATAAAACACTGGGTGCAGCTGCCAAGGCCAGAGGAGGTTGAAACGTGGATGGTTGAGAGAGGTCCTCTTCTTTGCTTCTCTTACTGCCAGTGCTGGAGTGGGTTCCTTTGAATGTGTCCCATGAGATGTGATGGGGGCTGTGTTTCCAGCACCAGTCCGTATTCTTGCTATCAGTGTGAATCCCTGCCCAGGTTTCAGAGGCTCTTCAGGATGTGAAGGAAGACAATACCCTACTCCAGTGCTACACTCAGCCAAGAATTACCTTGCTCCTTCCTCCTTACTGCATTGTAAATTGACCCTCATAGCCATTTTCCGTTAGAATAGATGCAAATTCCAGTATCACTGACACATCCCAAGCCACTGTTCCCCTTCAATACCTGTCCTGATTCCTGAGTTAGTTCATTGCTTCCATCTATTTCCATTTTCTTGGTAACTGTATTCATTCAAGAAGGATTTATACTAGGCAGAAGTACAATGTAGAGGTTAAGGGTGGAAACTCTGGGAGTTCAATCCCAGCTGTGTGTTTACTAACTGTATCACCTTAGGCTGATTAACTGTCCTCTTTGTTTCCTCATCATAAATTGGGGATAATAATATTACCATAAGGATAATAATAGAACCTGTCTAATAAGGTTGTTGTGAGGATTAAATTGATGAATATATAAAGGGCTTAGAATAGTGCTTGGAACCTAGTAAGAGCAATATAAATGTTAGCTAGAATTGATCTAAGTTCTAATATTAACTCATTTAATCCTCAGAATCACCCTAAGGGGTTGGTACATTTATCAATGAGAGATTTTGTAACAGAGGTTTTAAGTAAAACAGAGGCTAAGTAACTTGCCCAGGCCTCTGACAGTACTGCGTGAACAAAACAGGCAAGATCTCTGTTATCACGGAAATTTCATGAAACAAATAAAATAATTTCATGATGATAAATGCAATGAAGAAAACAAAATAAGATGAAGGTAGGCCGGGCGTGGTGGCTTACGCCTGTAATCAATCCCAGCACTTTGCGAGGCCGAGGCAGGCAGATCACCTGAGGTCAGAAGTTCGAGACCAACCTGGCCAACGTGGCGAAATCCTGTCTCTACTAAAAATACAAAAATTAGCCGGGCATGGTGGCACATGCCTGTAATCCCAGCTACTCTGGAGGCTGAGGTGGGAGAATCGCTTAAATACGGGAGGCAGAGGTTGCAGTGAGTCGAGATCATGCCATTGCACTCCAGCCTGGGCAACAGAGCAAGACTCCACGTCAAAAAACAAAACAAAACAAAAAGATGAAGGTATGTGATAGGGTCACTTCTCTAAGGAAGTGACATTCCAGGGACTTGTTGCCCGTTCCTGCTACTGGCCTGTGTTCAGAGCCACTGTGGTTTACCTTAACACACTTCAACAATTCTGCATCTTGGTGAAGCTACTGGAGTCTCATTTCCTTTGTTTAAGGAGGTCCCCAGACCCCTTAATGGCTATTTGCCTACTGCTTATTTGTTTCACTTCACAGGAAAATGTATTCTGCATCATTGGACAATCTACTCCACAGATAACCAGAAAATTACAATATGGCACAGGAAGTTCTATGGCAAAGGAAAGGAAAAGGGGCTGTGGCTTCCCAGAGGAGGTACCTAACTGAGCTTGGTGGACAGAGGAGTACAAAGAATAGTATATGCAGAGGCTCTCATCTAAAGTGTGCCCCCCAAAATAAACAATAAATAAATAAATAAATAAAGTGTGCCCTAGTCATCTTCTCAAACCAATGAAAGCTTGACTCTCATTTTTCTGGTAGCCCTATAGTTTCAAAATACTGTTTACTTTGTGTGTGAAGGTAGAGGAAACAGGCACTTCCAGGATATTGCAGGCAGTAGTGCCCATGAGGAGGCCCTCATACTTCTGCTGGGATCTCTTGGGTACCTCAAGTGTTTCTATCTTCCACCAGGACACTGAGGAGGCAGGGCGGGCGGCAGCTTTACTCTCAGCCTGCTGCTAGCTCATATAGCACCTGGATTCCTTTCCTAGGGCTGCTGTCACAAAGTACCACAAAACTAGGTGGCTTCAAAAAACAGAAACAGATTCTCTTAACAGTTCTGGAGCTGGAAGTCCAAAATCAAGGTGTCAACAGGGCTGGATGCATCTGGAGGCTCTGAGGGAGCATCTGCTCCATGCCCATCTCTTTGCCTGTGGTGGCTGCCAGCAATCCTTTGCATTCCTTGGCTCATGGCTGCAGTGCTCCAATCCCTGACTCCATCCCTGGAAAGCCTTCTTCCCTTTGTCCCTCTGTCTGAATCTCCCTCTCATCCCTTTTCTAAAGACATCAGTCGTTGGATTTAGGGTCTACCCAAATGCAGTATGGCCTCATCTTAACTTGATTACATCTGCCAAGATGCTATTTCCAAATAAGGTCACACACACAGGTACCAGAGGTTAGGGCTTCAACATATCTTTTGGGAGGATACAATTCAACCCATGACTGCATCTTTGTGCAGAATGGAGACATTTGTGCCCGCTCTGGATGGATGCTGCCCCTATGCTCATGGCTTAGTGAGGAGACAGCACCCTTGTGTGAATTACACCAAAGAGCCCTTTCTCCTAGTGCAGCTCCACACCAGGACCCAAGGCTTTGCACTTGGAATCTAGGCTGATTTCAACCCCGATTTAGCCTCCCTCTGGCCCACTCAGCAGGACACAGCCTGTTCAATCATATGTACTGACCTTCGACTACTCTGCCCTCAGCTGGCTGCTTCCACTCTGCCCCTCCCCACATTCCTACCCATCCTATTCCTTCCATCCCCATATCCTGAGGGTATAACCCATTCTCATTCTCAGTCCAGTTTTTGGATGTCTTTTGTGGAATGATCTGATTCTGTAGCTCCTGTGACTAGCTGGTATGTTTGCCTGGACAACATCTATTCTCTTCTCTTCTCTTCTCTTGTGGAAACAGCACCCTAATTTTCCTTTGGGGCAACCATCCCTCTCCCACTTGCAGTTCCTCTGGTTTGGGTGGGACTGACCCCACATTCCAACTTGAGATTGGCATAAAATCTAGTGTTGGCCAACCAGAACACCCCATCCCCTGGCATAATGATTAATCCTAGACTATTCTAAACATGACCGGGACTTTTGCCAAAACTACTGAAGGAGAGCCATTCTCTCTGTCCAGATGGCTATATGAATAGGATAAGCCCGGAGTGGCCTGAGAATAAAGCTGACCCAGAGAAAACTGATGCTAAGAGAGAGAATCCTGATAATATAATTTAGTCACCTGCTTCTATCTAAGCCTAAAGCTAGATATAGCCCAGGACTTTATAAGTAACATGAGCTAACAAATTTCCCTCCCGCCATGATCCCCTCTTTTACTGTGTGACTACTAAAAGTGGGTCTCTGTCCTGTAACTGAAAGAATCCTATCTAGGGACTCTTTAAAATGCCAAAAAAGAAAGAGAGGAAAGAAAAGAAAGAAAAGGAAGAAAGGGAAGGAAAGGAAGGAAGGGAAGGGAAGGAAGGAAGGAAGGAAGGAATTCCAATCTCTGAATGCATCTCTGACACCTCCGTTATCTCTGCTCTGTGCTTCCAAAGCTCTGTGTCCTCCCTGGCCCACCAGGGTCTCCATGCCTGAGTCCTGGCAGATGAGTAGGAGTTAACTAGGCTAAGAAAGGGGAAAGGTTTCCTAGCACATCATGGTGGAGATAGGTGTAAAATTGGACTGAATATCCCGCCTACTTAGACTCATTAAACTTTTTGAGGAGAGGTGGGGGTAGGGAGCAGGTTCTGCCCCTTCCTGGGGCTGCCAGTTCTGTCTACATTTGGTTTCATTTTCCTGTGGGCTCTCTACTTTCCAGCTCAGCAGCTTTGTTCCCACGTGCCATCCAGCAGTGTATCTTAAATCTCTGCTATGAGCTAACACTGAGCTAAGCTGCTGGGAGGCACACATTGCCCCTTGTTATTCTCTGCAACCTCTACACCACCTAGCACAGAGCCACAGCCCAGCAGGTCTCCAGAAGTGCACACTAATAGGCATTCCCTGACCTCTTGCAATGTCAGTCCTTCCTTCACCATGAAGCCTTCCCTGACTGTTGTAGTCCATCCTGATCTCCCCCTTTCCTGAGTCCATCATGAGCTATTGCATCATATTGTGTCTTTTGTTGCACTGGTGCTGGACCTGTTTCCCAGTTCCTCTTAAAGATTTCTGAATGCAAGAATCTGTACCCAAAGTTCTTTTTTTTTTTTTTTTTGAGACAGAGTATCACTCTGTCACCCAGGCTGGAGTGCAGTGGAGCGATCTCGGCTCACTGCAACCTCTGCCTCCTGGGTTCAAGCAATTCTCCTGCCTCTGCCTCCCCAGTTGAGCTGGGATTTACAGGTGCCCACCACCACATCTGGCTAATTTTTGTATTTTTAGTAGAGATGGGATTTTGCCATGTTGGCCAGACTGGTCTTGAACTCCTGACTTCAAGTGATCCACTTGCCTTGGCCTCCCAAAGTGCTGGGATTACAGGCATGAGCCACTGCGCCCAGCCTCCTCTGCCCAAAGTTCTTAGCACAAACTCAGGAAAGAGTCACTCTACAAATGATACACAATTCAGAAGAACTTTAATGCATATACCATCATTGCCACTATAATAGAGATAGAAGATACATTAAGAAAATTCAGTTTGTATCAATAAAACAGATCAACACAGAACAAGGAAACACCATAGATATTTGTAAATGAGATCTTCTCTTTTGCTACTGTGTATATATATTCCTTTATATTTATACAAACTCACAACACATGACATTTCATATTTCATATGCCACTGAGAAGAGGTGTCAGTATACAGAACATAGGAAGAAGAAAAAAGCATGAGAACATCTGCTTAGTTAGAATCTGATGAGGAGAGACGTGAGAGCTATTGTTCCTCTCTCTGCTCAGGCCTATCGAGAGGCAACTGCAGTTTTTGCTAATTGTTCCTCCTGAGGAATTCTGCTCATACTGCTATGGTACATCTCCTAGGTTGGCATGAGACCAGCCTGGTCCCCAGTTGAATAAATTAGAAAGAGCAGTTGGGGGAATTGAATATGATATGCAAATTGCATAAGGTGACATCTCTCTGTGTGGCCACAGAGATAGATCATCTGCTCCTGGCTCCTTGATCTGAGGGAAGCCTCTGCTGTTCAACCTGCTCCAGGGTTTAATTCTGTTGGGGTTGTGGGGCTGACAACAATGTGTTCCTTTCCTTCCTTCTCTCCCACAAGCAGAGGAAGTCATACGTAGACAAAACAGATGTTTAGGTTTTCTCTTCAGCAGGCTTCCTCTTGTTCCCCTCTATCACCCCCAGATAGGTGAAGTTCAGAATTAGGACTGCCCACTGCGGGGGGAACAGACCCTCCCCTGTTCTGAGACTAACCCTGCCATTTACTGCCTTCTCTATGTAGTCTTGGATAGGTTGCTTCACTGATGCAGGCCTCAGTCTTCCTCATCTGTACTGGAAATAATAAAACCCACATCACAGTGTTGTGTCAAAGATCATCAGGGCATGGATGGGAAAGTGCTTTGGGAACTGTAAAGTGCCTAACACATGATCGATGATTTTTGTTATAATATTTGAATCACGGTGCATACAAACTCTCCTGCCTGCTCCTCCTGGGCCCCAGCCCCAGCCCCATCACAGCTCACTGCTCTGTTCATCCAGGCCCAGCATGTAGTGGCTGATTCTTCTTGGCTGCTTTTAGCCTCCAGAAGTTTCTCTGAAGCCAACCAAACCTCTAGGTGTAAGGCATGCTGGCCCTGGTATTTCTAGATGAGGTTAGGTTCCTGGGACAGGAGTGTGTATTGAGGTGGAGGGAAGGAGCTGAAAGAAGGAGGGGATCCTTGGAAAGGGCTCTGAGAGGGGTGTATTCGTTTCATTCTGAGACGAATACCATCTATCCCCCTAGACTCTCACAGTGGCTCCACCTTAAATGTCCACAGCATTTCACTTTCTAAAATGTACTTTTATTTGACTCTCATAACTATTTTGTGAAGTAGGGAAGATTGTCAGCCTCATTAGGTGAAAATATGTTGGTTCAAGATCACACAGTTAGTATGCTGCAAAGTCAGGACTCAAACCCAGGTCTCTGGAATCCTGGTTTTCTGAATGTCGGAGGGCACCTCTAACAAAGGCTCTGGAGCACTCTAAACTCTCATTCTGGGCTCATTCCTCACTCCTGGAGGCTGATTTCTGGGGGAAGGAGGAAGTGCATGAGGTACCTTTCTGTCACATGACTGGTGGCAGACCCTACTTTAACCCAGCCCAACAAGGTCATGCTACAGAGCTGCTCATGGCATTTTCCTGGACTCTCCTCCCTTGGTCCTGACTGGATTCTTCTACCCTGATCCACTTAGTAAGTTCAAGCTCCATCTCCTACTTACACAATGCCCCTTCTCTTGCTCCTTTGCTCATGGTGTTTACACTGGCTTTCTCCAGTCTCTGGTTCTCAGTCCCCTTACAAAGATCCTGGATTAGATTTGCCTGCCTAGCTCTGCCTGATTGGGATTACACATTGTGTAGTGCCAACATCACACGTTCGGCATCTACTGTGTGTGCACGGCACTGCACTAAGGGTTTTACACCCATTCTCCATTTAATCCTTTCAACAGCCTTGTGAAGTAGATAGTATTACTTCATTTACATATGAAGTAACTGAGGCTCACTGAGGCTCCGGGAGTCATCTTCCCGAAGTCACAAAACTAGTGATGAAGACCCAAGAACTGAACCCAGGTCTGTCAGACTGTAAGCCCTGTAGGCTTAACTATTCTGCCTTATGACCTTCTGAAACCTCATCCTGTGGTCTGATGTCTACAGGGGTTGGAAGATAGTTTACTACATGAAATCCTTTAGTTTCCAGGCTTTTAGCTGCATGGCAGAGTTTGTCCTGAGAAAGATCTTGCCCAGCTCAGCCTGGCACACACGGGTCCATAAATTAAGTCCTCCTTGAGGTGGAATGCATTTCTGGCACATAAACATGGCTGCCTGGTGTCTCTTTTCAAACAAATGGGACTGTGCTCTATTCTCAACAAGTGTCAGAGATTCTTGTTTCTCTTCCTCTTGTTACTCTTTAGGAACCTCCAGCCTAGAATAGTCAGGCATGGACCATCCAAACACAAATTGCTAAGATGCTTTCTGGCAGCCTCAGAAACCAGGACCATACGCCTGGCTAAGTGATGAGGGGGTCACACAGCCTTGGCTCTTTTCACTGTACCCGAAAAGAAAGGAAGCTTTAGTAATGAAAGGATTGCTGCCAAAATCCTGTTTCCCCCTTGCAGATCTTACAGAAAACAGCCACAGAATCCCAAGGCATCAGCACCAAGAGAGCCTGTAGAAACTATCTGGTCTAAGCTCCTGAAGCCCAGAGATAAGAATGACTTAACCCAAGCTGCACAGCCTCTTAACAGTCCACTGTTAACCCCAGAAACAGATGCATTTGAATCTGAAAGGAGACAGGAATCCTAATCCTACTGCTCAGGGACTTGCTGATTTACTTTGCTGTCTATTAGCCTTTCTGTGACATGATTTTCTACCAAGCAAAGTCTTTTATTCAAGTCTCCCAGAGATTTCCTATTTAAGCGTTTGCTATTTGGCCACTTAAAAAAGACAGAAGAGAAGTAAACAGAAGCATATACCACACAACTCAGTCCAGTCAGTAGTTGACTCTCAAGATGGCGGATGTCACTGAGATGGCTGAGAAATAGGAACGGATGTGGAGAAAGGAGTGGCAGTGGAGTTAGCTGTTTTGTCTACCTGCTGGATACCTGGGAAGCCAGACTCTGTGTGGACAGTGATCCCTAGTCATAGGAAACTTTGCCTGTGCTGTCATCAGTGTCCATGGAGAACTGCTTCTCACCTTGAGAAATCCCTCTTCTTCGTTCCTTCAGGTACAAGAAGAGAGGATGGAGACGAGGGTAGGCTTCTTTTCAGATTATACATTCTGGATCAGAAAGTCTATATCAGTGGGATTTTCTGAATGACCCAGGTTTTTTTTGTTTGTTTTTGTTTGTTTGTTTGTTTGTTTTAGAATTTCTGTGCTTTGGAGCTAGAAGGATATATAAATGAGAAAACTGAGAACAAAAGAAGAGACAATATATTTTTGGTTGCAAGGGATAAGAACCTAACTCCAACAAGCAAAGCAAAGGGGGGTTTTATTAGAAAGATACATTGAGCTTTCTATCAGAATCAAAGGAAGAGGTGATCAGCCAAGCCTCCAAACCAGAATCAGGGTCTAGAAAACCAGAGACCACACTCTTTCTCACCTTATGTCTCTGCTGCCCTCTGCCTAATGGCCTTGTTTTCGCTTACTATAGACCAGAATTTACACAGGGATGGAGAATAAGCCATCACAGCTTTAGACCTCATATCTTCAAATATTTGCCACTCAAATGGAAAAAGAATAGGTCCAGCTTTTTATAAAAATCTTAGGGAAGGATTCTGATGGGCCCTGCTTGATCACATGCTCCGTTTATTGACAGTCTTCACTAGAATCACCTGGTTTGGGTTAGGGAGTAGTAGTACTACTAAAGAAGAGATTACTATTTCTGGAAGAAACAAGGAGAGAGGTGACAGCTGCTTATTACAGGAAATGATTTACCAGAGATCCTATAGCAAGTTAGGAGCGGACTCAGGGCTAGAAACAGAATCAATAAAATAGGTATTAATAATAATGGAAGTCTCTGAATTCTCTTCATTTCTTTCCTTTTCTTCTTTTTTTTCTTTCTTTCTTTCTTTTTTTTTTTTTTTTGAGAGGGGGACAGGGTCTTGCTCTGTCACCCAGGCTGGAGTGGCACAGTGTACAATCATGGCTATGGCTCACTGTATTCTTGACCTCCAGGGCTCAATCGATCCTCCCACCTCAGCCTCCCAAGTAGCTGGGACTATAGGTGCAGGCTACTTTGCCCAGTTAATTTTTTGTATTTTTTGTAGAGACAGGGTTTCACCGTCTTGCCAAGGTTTGGATTGTTTTTGTGTGAAGTAAACCTCAGTGTTACTGAGCCGTTCATTTATTTAGATTTTTAAGAGATTGCCATTGAGGCTGGATGCGGTGGCTCATACGTACAATCCTAGTGACTCAGGAGGCCAAGGCAAGAGGATCGCTTGAGGCCAGAATTTGAAACCAGCTTGGGCAACATAGCAAGACCGTCTCTATTAAAAAAAAAAAAATATATATATATATATATATATATATATATATATATATATATATATAAAAAATGTTACTCCTGTGAGACAGAATGGACTAGAGTGGAGTAATTACGTAAGTAGGGAAATGTTAGGAACTCTGTGGTAGCTCTCTAGGGCAGAAAACAATGGTGGCCTGGACCAAGGTCATGCCAATGAAAATGGAGAAAAATGATCAGATTTGAGATATATTTAGAAGTAAAACCCTAGGATCTGCTGCTAGATTAGACAAGGAGGCTGAGAAAAAGAGAAAAATCAAAGAATTAAGGATGAGTTTTCTGTGAAGACTGGGGTTCAAACAAGTTTGGGGGCAGAATCAAGAGTTTCAATTTGGACATGTTAAGTTTGAGACATGAAAATGTCCAGTAGGCACTTAGATACACGTTATTATCAAAGACTTGGCATCTAAAGCCTCGGGACTAGACGAGTACATCAAAGAAGGAAGTACAGTTAGAACAGAAGGCCCAACTGTTCTTGGAGCCATCTTTTCTATATATACTGAATCTTTCTGCTGGGCTTCTGGCCAGGAACTTCCGGTAGGAATTACAACCATTATCTACGGTGAATCCTGTGAAATGAGAAGTCAGATTCATCCCTCGGGGATAGCTAAGAGGTATCCAAATGGACTGTTTAACAAGCATCAAAACTTCTTCATCTCGAGTGTCTTGATTCCTCCAAAGTAAATCCTTTGGATCACTATTAAACAAATGATAAGACTGCCCTGCCCTATACAGTTTTGCCACTTGTCTTTGGTGATATCATCGGAGCCATGTTTTAAGACCCCAGGACATCTACCAGACTTAGTTTCAGAGGACTGAGGGTGCTTCCTGTGGTAGATTGAAAAATTGGTCACCATATTTTGTAGCTCCTCCCATAAAGAGATGGCATCTATTTCCCCCTCCCCTTTTTTTTTTTTGAGACTGAGTCTGGCTCTATCGCCCAGGCTGAAGTGCAGTGGTGCGATTTAGGCTCATTGCAACCTCCTCCTCCTGGGTTCAAGCAATTCTTGTGCTTCAGCCTCCCAAATAGCTGGGATTACAGATGCCCGCCACCACACCCAGCTAATTTTTGTATTTTTAGTAGAGATGGGTTTTCACCATGTTGGCCAGGCTGGTCTGGAACTCCTGACCTCAAATGATCCGCATGCCTTGGCCTCCCAAAGTGCTGGGATTACAGACATGAGCCACTGAGCCAAGCCCTATTTCTCCATTTCTTAAAACTGGACTTGGCCATGGAACTTGTGTTCATCAGTGAGACATTGGCAAATGTGATGGAAACAGAGCTTGAAAAGTGCTTCTGTGTTGGATCTTGCCCTCTCTTGCTTCGAGGAAACTCCTGCTACCATATGGACAAATCTGGGCAGCCTTCTGGAGGATGACACCACAGGGAGAAAGGCCTCAACAGCCCCAGTCATCTCAGCTGGGACCCCAGACATGTGGATGTAGCTATCCTAGACCATCCTGCCTCAGCCAGAAGAACCACCCAGCCAACCCACAGAATCATAAGAAATGATACATGTTTGTTGTTTTAAGCCTGTAAGTTTTGGAGTGGTTGGTTACGTCCTTCAGAAAACAACAATGAACTCCTAGCCAGGCAGTCTAACAATGTTTCACAGGTAGAGATATTCTTTCTCCTATCCTCAGTCTTCTTGGGGCATTTGTATTTGATCAGTCATCAAAGGTTAGTACTAAAAGGTGAAAGCTTAGTTGAGGAATGTAAAGCAATGGCCAGTGGGTAGCAGAGATATTTGGGAGCAGTAGACTCTTCCAAGAGCCCCTGAAACAGTTTCTCAAAGGTGATTCCGGTTTCCCAGTTGAGTGTTCTCACAGCATCACGTGCCTTTCCTTTAGAGTACTTTGTAATTATATTTGGGTGATGATTTGACAATGTCTATACTAAATCATGAAGCTATACGTTTCATGAAAGCAAGAACTGTGTCTAATTTGCCACTACTTGTATCCTGGCACATAATATATATTCATTTGTTGAGAAAATAAATGAATAAATAAATTTGAATTTTGTCTACTTCATATAATGGATCAGGACCTTAAAAAACCATCATTTAACAGTATTTATATCTCACGGACTAGTGTTTTGCATTTACTTCCAGCCACAGGATGCTACTTGATTCCCCAACTATGGCAGGTAATTGGGTGTAGGCTTGGGGCAGGGAATCTGAAATCAATGAGATCCCAGGACACTGGTTATTGTAGTTCTTTCCCCTTCCCCTAAACTGTTGGCAAACAAAGTCAAACAAACATTCCTCAGGATACTCCAGAAAACTCGATATCCAAGCAAGGAGCTTAGTGGCCGGCAGGAGCAGGTGATATGAGTTGGGGAGTCAGGTCTGGAGAATGGTCTTATTCTGTGGATGTTATAAGGCTTCGGTCACCAAGCAATTGTGGCTATTTAATTAACTGAGGTTATTTAACTCTAAGAATCCTTGGGAGCCTGGTACTACCAGAGGGTATATCCCATCTACCCTTCTGCTAAGACAATCTGAAGAAAAAAATTTGAAAGAGCATGAGTCAGACAGAGGAGGGTTCAAATGATGCTAGTGGGTGACTTGAGCATGTTAACTTTTCCAGGGCTGTTTCCTTGACTGCCAAATTGGGATAATAATATTTTAGAAACAGCATCTCCATTAGATCATAGGACCTTGCAGGCAGGGATCATTTTTTTTTTCATCTGTATTTATCTAGTGCTTAATAATGCTAGGCCCTAGTCGATAGTCAAATAGCTAAGTGTCTTCTTAGAGGTGATCCAGGACCTAGTCCTGGCTCCATCACTGTGATACTCTCAGAATAATTAGGAGATTTCCTTCCATTCTTTGGATGTCAACCTTCCCTTCTATAAAATAGGAGCCTGGAACAGATCTTCTCTAAGCTCCTTTCCAGATCTGATAATCGATGAGTCTGTGACCATTCAGTACACTCTACTCCACTGCTGCTCCTAGAAGTTAATAATGCTATAGACTGAGGAGACAATGAGTCACGAATCACTTTGTATTTACAGATACACATGCATTTAAAATAGATGTAAATAAACACAATACTGTATTGCACTTTTGGCCACTTTTGCGTCTTTAGAAGTCAAGAGGTGTTTTTTGTTGTTGTTGTTTGTTTGCTTGTTTTGTTTTGAGATGGAGTCTCGCTCTGTCACCCAGGCTGAAGTGCAGTGGCACGATCTCGGCTCACTGCAACCTCTGCCTCCCAGGTTCAAGCGATTCTCTGCCTCAGCCTCCTGAGTAGGGATTTCAGGTGCCCACCACCACGCCTGGCTAATTTTTGTATTTTTAGTAGAGATGGGGGTTTCACCATGTTGCCCAGGCTGGTCTTGAACTCCTGACCTCAGGTGATCTGCCCACCTCGGCCTCCCAAAGTGCTGGGATTACAGGCATGAGCTGCTGCGCCCAGCCAGAAGTCAAGAGTTTTTAAATATTTTATTTGGATTGTTGAGGAAGATTAAATCCAGGACAAGTTGCCACTAACACATATTACACAGCTTGAACCTTGGTGGCTAATTGCGCTATTACTGTGATTGATGAACACTATGCTGCAATCAGCTGGAAGCTGCTGCCTTTCATTTGACAGAAATGAGGTCACAGAGCAGGGCTGGGGAGCTGCCATCTCACAAGCAGGTCTGGTTGTCTGTTGCCCAGTAGACAAGCTTGCCACTATAACATTTAACTCTTGATTCCATCTATTGTGAAGATGCTTGTTCCCTTGAACTGGCTCCTGAGTTTTACAGAATTTGACAGTTTTAAAGAAAACGATTTCATCTTTGCCTGGATATTCAGTAGGAGAGAAAAGATTATTGGATATAGATACTAAAATATCCAGGCGTCATGAGGACCTTGGTCTGAAATCCTAGTACTAGAGTAGGTGAGTGTTAATGACCAGAAAAAAATAGTAATTATCCATGACACTGTATACAATGTTACAGTGTAAAAATCACACCCAGAACCACTGCCCTCTGAAGCAACTGTATTATACCCATGGTCAGAAAAGTTAATCAAGTCACTCTTCACAAATGCCCCATTGCTGGAGCATAGAGGCTGTTCAAAGTGGAGCATGGAGGCTCCTGCTGATTGGGAGCCTGATAAGTGTTGCCTGGCAGAGGCAGATACAGGGAAAGCCAGCACTTGGGACTGGGAAGCACTGGGCATTTTCTACCCAGGCCCATGGGATCTGTTGCCTCAGAGACTGACTCGCCTTTCCTGAGCATTAGACATCCATCACCTGGGATTAGTCTGAGTAGTTGAGCAATTTGTTAACAGATTAGAGATATACATCTTTTCTCCAGTGGACTTGGAATCTGATGGCCCTGGAATTGAATCCTAATGTGGCTTTAACACTCTCTTGGTATGTGATCCAAGTCTCGTAATCTCTCTGGATCATAGTTTGTCTATAAAAGATGCAGCCCAGAATGTGGTTAAGAGCACAGACCTTGGAGCCTACTGCCTGGATGTGAACTCCAGCTCTACCACTTACTTATTATGTGACTTTAGAGGTCCAGCTAGAACCTCTTTGTACCTTTGTTTCCTCATCTTCAAATGAGGCTCACTATAGTGCCTCCCTCACAAGATGTTGGGAAGATAAATGAGTTAATGCACGTAAAATGCTTGGAACAATGTCTAGTACAGAGTAAGCATGACATCAGAGTTGGCCGAGACAACTCTTGGATGCCAATCCTGATCTCTCAGGTTTGTTTGGTGGATCAACTGAAATGGTGAAGGTGAAAAAAAAGAGACACCGAGTTATTAGTGCCAAAAGAGACCTTAAAGATCATCCAAATAAGCTCCCTCATTTTATAAGTAGGAAATCAAGACTCAAAAGTGGAAAGTAACTGGCCCAGAGTCACAGTTGATTTAATGACAGAGTCCGGGTCTCCTGATTCCAAGTCCAAAGCTCTGCTCTCTGCATTGCATCAAAGAAAGCAACATCTTTGTAGAGCTGACTCCTTTAAAAAAAAAAAGAGAGAAAGAGAGACAGAGAGACAGGGTCTTATTCTTACTCTGTCACCCAGACTGGAATGCAGTGGCATAATTACAGCTCACTGCAACCTCAAATTCTTGGGCTCAAGCAATCCTCCTGCCTCAGCCTCCCAAGTAGCTGGGACTACAGGCATGCACCATCACATCTGGCTAATTTTTTTTTTTGTAGGGATAGAATTTGACCACATTGCCCAGGCTGGTCTCAAACTCCTGGCCTCAAGTGTTCCTCCTGCCTTGGCTTTCCAAAGTGCTGGGATTACAGGTGTGAGCCACAGCTGGATGGTCCTTTTATTTAGTCATTGGACTGGTTGCTAGTTAATTACTTTTCTAGGACAATGAGCCTCATTTGAAATGAAAAGAAAACTGGCGAGAGACTCCTCCTGCCCGCTGACTTTTGAGGTGGCTGAGGATTCAGGCCATGATAGAGAAGAAAGGTTTTCTGGAATCACTGCCAGTTCCATGTCATTATTTCAGCCAAAACAAAATATGTCCCTGTGGCCAAGCAAGCTAGAATAATGAGCTAATTTATTCTGGTCTCTGAGTTTCTTTTATTTTTTTCCTCAGGTATTTAATTAAGGGGCTTCCACCAGAAGTGGTTTCCCACACTCTCTGGTAGAAACTAAGGTTTCACTCCCAGGAGAAAGGGGTTGGGATCGGGATCTCTGAGTTCAATTTTCTCAATTTTTTCAGAGTCATGCCACCTTAAGATTTATTTTGCTTTGAATCATACTTCTCAGTTAGACTGCTCAAGAGCAGTTAAAAGATGGATTGGAGGAAAAGGGCAGGATAGGGAGAAGACCCTATGAAGAACAGCAGATGGAATTATAGAGGTATTTGACCTAGAGAAAAGGCAAGTCCCAGGAGTCATGATTCCTGTTCTCAAATAGTCTGAAGACGTCACAGGGCAGAGGGAGCACAGACTGTGAAGTCTCTGACAGCAGAGCTGGTACCAACAGGGAGGGAAGAAGAAGAAGAATTTCCAGGAGGCAGATTTGAGCTCGATACAAGGAAAACTTTCTATGAGAGTTGACAAAGATGGTGTGGAAAATGAGCTCCTGTCCCTGCCTAGAAGGTGTGCTTTAAAAGAAAGAGATTTGATTGTTAGGCTTGACAGTCACTTGTCAGAAAAAGGAAGGTTAGAACTGACTAGTCAGACTAGGTAAATTTGGGCATCCCGTCAAATCTAAAATCCTCAGGTTCTAGGAGTCTAAGAACTAATAACCAATTTCACTAAGTTCCCACAGTTAAGAACCAACTGGAAAGCAGCAAAATCAGAAACTCATGATCTGTTTCTTGATCTTGCCTGTTTCTCTTTTTCTCTGTTTGTCTTTCTTGAGCATACCTACTTGCTCTTTCATATAGCAGGAACCTCTGACATTTTGTAGGGGATAATCCTTTTCTCTTTTTTTTTTTTTTTTTTTTTTTGAGACGGAGTCTCGCTCTGTCGCCCAGGCCGGACTGCGGACTGCAGTGGCGCAATCTCGGCTCACTGCAAGCTCCGCTTCCCGGGTTCACGCCATTCTCCTGCCTCAGCCTCCCGAGTAGCTGGGACTACAGGCGCCCGCCACCGCGCCCGGCTAATTTTTTGTATTTTTAGTAGAGACGGGGTTTCACCTTGTTAGCCAGGATGGTCTCGATCTCCTGACCTCATGATCCACCCGCCTCGGCCTCCCAAAGTGCTGGGATTACAGGCGTGAGCCACCGCGCCCGGCCAATCCTTTTCTCTTAAGTGTGTTTCTGACTCAGCCTTTGCTCCTTCAGCATCATTAGAGAGTCTGAGCTCTCTGAAGATTAGCTCTTCCTGTCGCCACAGCAACTGCCCAGGCCCTGTGGGCATCCGTGGTAACAGGCGCAGGGCTTTGAGAGCCCAAGCTTGACTTGTAGTGAGAGAAAGCCCCGCAGGGAGCCCGATAGGAAACAAGCACGTTGTGCTTTGAGAAGTTGTCTTTAACAGGATTAGCTATGCAGGCGAGCCTCACTTTACGCAATTGGCATGCCCCTGAAGAATGTGTGCGTGTCAAATTTTGGTAAATGGAGGAACTCTCATTTTAAAGGCAGAAAAGAGACTGTTCTCTAAGTCCCTGTAGTGAATCCCCTTCGTAAAACAGAGTCTTCTTTTGTAAAGTGATTCTGCACCCGTGTAGTGACCTGTTATGTTAGTCTAGTGCTGAGTATCTATTACTGGGACCATCTGCAGAGAACCCCAGGGGCAGGCAAAGAATAGCAGCAACTCATCTTGCTCTGAGTGTGGGCAGTGTGTAACAGGGAGAGTGGGCTGAGAGCGGACAGTGTGTAACAGGGAGAAGCAGACTGGGTGTGGGGCCACAATGAGGGGAGGTCAGGAAGGTGGGCCTTGCCTAGCATGAGCAGTTCTGCTGCAGCAGCGGTGGGGTGTCCGAGAGACGCGTGTTCTTGGAGGAGCCCAGCATCGACGGGTCTGTGTCCAGCGAATCAGACATCTTGTCACAAATGGCATCCACCAGGCGCTCAAAGGCCTGCCTTACACTGATGTTCTCCTTTGCACTGGCTTCAAAGAAATCAAACCCTGGAAAGAGGAGAGATACAGATAAGGACTTTTCCCATCCCTTCTGCTGGAACCCTTCTGTGCCCTCAGCCCAAGCACTCTGGATTAATATGTCCAGTGCTCAGCAGTGAAGCAAAGAGGCTAAATTCCACGGACATGGGATTCTGCTTCAAGGAGACGGTACAGGGCAGGAGTTTCCTGCACTGGTCTTTCAGTCAGACTGATCCTAGCTCTACCACCGCCCAGCTGTTTAATTCCGGGCTGAGTCATTTATTCTCTTTACAAATCAATTTCCTGGTTTGTAAAAAGGGATAATTTTACCTACTTCATAGAATTATTTCAAGGATCAGGCAAGACAATGTATGTGAAATATATAACCCTGTGCCTGACACAGAGGGGGTCATTAGTGTTTGCTGACAGAGCAAATGCATAAACGTGTGTCCACAGCACCTTACAGTTTCCAAAGCACTTATCACATAGATTATTTTATTTGATCTTCATGTTGCCCCTGAGGAAGGAGTCTCAGTCAGATCCTCTCCACTTCACTAATACAAACACTGGCTTACAGAAGTAAGCTAGCTTGCCCAAGATAAGGAAAAGCACCAGTATGAGAAGCCCAGGTTTTGGACTTTTTCGCAGGGATTTTCCTCCTCTTTCCCCTGCCTCTCATTCCCCCTAGGCTGGCCAGCTCTAGTCTGGGCTCTAGGAGGCACCTCAAGATTCACACTGAATAAGTCTTCTTTGCCCTTTCCACCCATAGCCACACTGGTTTATTTCCACTCAGTGGGGTTCCTCCTCCCTGAATTCCACTAAAACGATCCAATAGATCTCACCCTCCCTCCACAAACCCAACAAAAGGCCCAGGGAAAACTACATCTCAGGTATGCAACATTCTTGTCTATTTTGTATCTTGAGACCCTTAGCGTCACTTTCTGTGATGAAAAGAACTTGGTTGTCCCAAGAGACACAGCAAAGGCCCTCCTGATTCCAAAAGGCTGCTTTCCACCCAAGGAATCTTGGTCAGCTTGGTGGCAGCCCTTAGAAGCAAAAGTGGCCCTCTCCATCAGTCCCCAGCCCTCTCCCACTTCTGTTGTCTGTCTGCTTTCCTCTTTCCCTTCTTTTGGAGCCTTTCCCCTGTGTCCCTTGCATTTTCTCCTTGGGATTCCTAATATCTTTGGGGCAACTACTACATGCCAGACACTATGCTAGGAGCTTTACTGATATCATCTTCTTTAATCCTCACAATAACCAGTTGGGTAAATAACATCATCTCCAATTTATAAATGAGAATATGAGAGACTGCATAACTCACACAAAGTCATGTGGCTGTATTAGCGGAAACTGGATTTAGACCTGGGTTTGGCTGTCTCCAAAGTCCACACACAGCTCTGCCTCTCATTTCTTCCCCCTTTTCTCTTTCACTTTGCATTTTTTTTTCCTGATTATACCTTTTTCTTCCTTTACAAGTCTCTTTGGCCTCCTCTGCTTTAATCCGACTAACAGTATCTGAGTCTGGGCAAGTCACTTCACCTCTCTGCTCACTTAACCTCTCCAATTCTCAGACTCCCTGTTGTCAAATAAGACAAACAACAGTGTCTTCCTACCAAGAACAGGTGGGAGGAGTGTGTGAGATGATGAATACATTGCTGTAAAAAAGTGGCCTGTTATAAAGACAGTTTCCTTCTGTTCTTTCAACTTGTTCCTCCCACCTCCTCTCCATCTTTCTAACATCCTCTTTTATCATCTTCTCTAACAAAGGAGGGATCTCTTTCCCCCCTCCCTCTTTCTCCCTATTATTCCACCATCCATAGAGAGGGCTGAAGCCCCCCAGGTATAAACAAGGCCTCTCTTTTCCCAGCCTTTTGGCTGGAAGGCACATGCCATTCCTGCCAGCCCACCTCCAGCTGACAGCCTCTCCTGTGGCCCATCTCCTGACCTGAGAAAGACAAGCAGCAGAAGTGCCTGCTAATTGTGGACATGTGATGAAGAAGGAGGCAGCTGCTGGCTCATTATACTCAGGCCATAGAAACCCAGTCAGCTTCAGAGACCCTCCAGCATATCGTTTTTCCTTAATGAACGTCACAAAAATGGACTCCCCAGTCTTTGACTGCCTTATCACAAGTGGCAGTGTTTGGGGAGGTGCGGGGAGTGTATTGTTTATTTGGGAAAGAGGCAGACCAGTAAGTAAGTAAATAGGTTTTCAGCTCAGATGAAGATGAGGACACAGTTCAAGGCCAGGGGCACAAATCCCTTGTGAGGAAGTGGCACTGAGGGGAGGACATGCCACATTGTACAGAGGGCAGCTACTAGCTGTGTGATCTTGGACAAGTTGCCTAATTGCTCCCAGTCTCTGTTTCCTCATCTATAGAATGAGGCGAATACTACCTACCCCATAGGATAGTAATGAAAATTAAATCCATGAAAGTATATGACATGATTGGCATGTGAATACATGGCAATTCTCTTTCCTATATGTTCCTGGCCCACCTTACTCCCAGCTTCCTTGCACCTCTACTGTCTCCAGGGCCTTTGGGGAAATCTCTTTGTCTTCATCACTTAGGGTCAATCAATAAGCCAGGTCTTTTTTTTTTTAATTTCATTTTTATTTATTTATTTTTTGAGAGACAGAGTCTTGCTCTGTCGCCCAGGCTGGAGTGCAGTGGCACAATCTCGGCTCACTGCAACCTCTGCCTCCCGGGTTCAAGCGATTTTCCTGCCTCAGCCTCCTGAGTAGCTGGGATTACAGGTACCCACCACCACACCCGGCTAATTTTTGTATTTGTAGTAGAGACAGGGTTTCACCATGTTGGCCAGGCTAGTCTGGAACTCCCAACCTCAGGTGATCTGCCCGCCTCGGTCTCCCAAAGTGCTGGGATTACAGGCATGAGCCACAGTGACTGGCCCACCAAGTCTTTATTGAGCATTGACCTTGTGCCATGTCTTGTGTTGAGTGTTAGAGATACAGACACAGGGAGATCAATTATAGTTGTAGAAAAGACATGCTAATAAAGGCATCAGTCTCTCCCATCTGCAGTTCACATTAACAGTTCACAAATACGAAAACAACCATGTGAGTGGGGTGGGGCAAGGCAAGGGTTAGCACTTGTAATTTGCAGACAGGAAAACTGAGACTCAGAGATGGGCCAGGGGTCTATCCCTTATGCCTCCTTGTCTCACGCTCAGTTGGAACAGCAACAGAACAAGCTGTAACATTCTAACCCAGGTAGAGGAAACCAGAGGCCATGCAGGGATGCAGGAGAGGGAGAGGCTGGCAGGGAAGGAGAGGAGGAGGAAGCTTCTTGAAGTTAGTGAGGATGTGAGCCTTTAAAGTCAGAACTCAGGCTGGGTGCAGTGGCTCACGCCTGTAATCCCTGCAGTTTGGGAGGCCGAGGTGGGTGGATCACCTGAGGTCAGGAGTTAGAGACCAGCCTGGCCAACATGGTGAAACCCTGTCTCTACTAAAAATACAAAAATTAACCGGGTGTGGTGGCACTGCCTGTAATCCCAGCTACTCGGGAGGCTGAGGCAGAAGAATTGCTTGAACCTGGGAGGCAGATGTTGCAGTGAGCTGAGATTGCGCCACTGCACTCCTGCCTGGGCGACAGAGTGAGACTCTGTCTCAAAAAAAAAAAAAAAAAAGTCAGAACTGAGCAAAACTGGCTAGGTGCTAGTGGCTCAAGCCTGGAATCCCAGTACTTTGGGGGTGCCAAGGCAGGAAGGTTGCTTAAGGCCAGTTGTTCGAGACCATAAATAAATAAATGAATACACAAATAAATTACATTAAAAATAATTAAACAAAACTCTTCACCTAACTTCTTCTCATTCTTCAGGACTCAGCTTACATATGGTATCTTCATTCTCCTCTGTGCTTCCTCCTGCCATAGCACTTTTTACCCTGCATGGCAGAAGTCCATATAGACAGGGAGCTCCCCAAACAGGAACTATGTCATTCTGAGCCCCAGCACCACCTGGAAGAGTAGGTGCTTAGTGAATGTTGGTGGAATGAATAGTTGAATTAAGGAGGTGGGAATGAGCAAGGAGGGTGTGGTTGAGGGGATACGGATAGTGTGGGTCATGAAAGCTCAGCTCAATGAGCACGGTGCTGGGCATTGGGGACAGCAAGGTGAATCAGACACAGCCCTTACCTTTGAGGAGCCCCTAGTGTGTTATGGAAGATAGACACATTGACAATATTACAGGGCAATAAGTGTTGGAATGGAGGGAAGCCAGGGGATTGTCAGGGCACAGAGAAAGCATCTAACCAAGCCTGGAGACCAGGGACGGTTTCTTGGAGAAGCTGATGCTTAAGCAGATATCAGCTAGACAAAGACATGTCACTGTGAGTGTATGTGTGAGCACAGGCATGTCTAGCATAGCACAACAGGCAGGGGAGACAGCATGAATAGAGCACAGATAAGGGGGCAAAATCAGCCTTGGTCTATGCCAAAAGGGCCATAGCAGTTTGTTATCCTTAGAGCAGAAAACCCTAAGTGGTGAGAGTTGAGTCAGCAGGGGGCCAAACAGGGGGAGCTCTTGTGTCATGCCAAAGAGATGTCTTTACTGTCATCTCAAAGGTACCCGGAATGTGAGAACTGTGACTCAAGTTACCAACTCATGGGTCTAGCCAGCTCAAGGGCCTCTCTTGCTTAGCAGAATAACCCCAAATGCACCCCACCCAATTACTGTCAGATTCCTGAAATATTCTTCATTAGTAGGTCCATATGGTAACCTTTTCTTCAGGTTCATTAATAAGGACTTTTAGGAGCTGAGAATCTAGTGAGGCCAGGAAGATGACAACCAATTATCCAGACTAGCCCCCAGTCCTTTTCTTCTCCTAATTGGCTTCAGAACAATGACATTTCTGCTGTTTTTAATGGGGCTCAATTCTTAACTGAATCTGAGATGTTCCTCCACCCCCCAAAAATGATCACGTTTATCTACTCTGTCCAAAGGCAGCTGTCACAGACCCATAGACTGCATCCACACTGCCTGCTTCTGAATACGACCTCAGAATTCTATTCAGAAACTTGCAACCAGCTAAACTCACCTCTCCTCATCCCAACACTGCTCCAGAACATGTCTCCTCCACGGTTCAGATCCCTTCTCCATCCTGCTCTGACACCACCTCATCTCTGTCATTTATCAACCTTCAACTCACATCCTCTGGTCACTGATGATTTGGGCTCAGTGGGACTCACTGTCTTCCTTTCTACTCAAGGCTTGTTTTCATTCTCTGGAACTTTGAGTGTCATGTGGACAATCCATCCGGCACCTTGGATGGACCTTCTCTTCCATTTTGCTTCAGCTATTCACCTGTCCCTATAACTTGAGCTATTTTGACTTGGATTTGTGTCACTGGAATTGAAAGAGGTCTGATCAATTCAATATCCAGCCTCACTGGCTGAACACCCAAGACCTGGCATGGCCTGGTCTCTACTCCCCCAGCTTCATCTTCCTGGCTCACACTATGCTCCAGAAACATCAGTGCTTCCTGATTTTGTGCCATTGCTCATGTTATTAATCTCTAGCTACTACTCCTAATCATCTTCATTATTCATCTGTGGAATTACTGATCCCAGAGAAGCTTCACTTTTTCTTCCCCACAACACCTCTACCACTCAGAACATATAATGTCTCTCTCCCCTGTACTCTCATGGCACTTTGTGTGATTGTTTCAGTCAGATTCCAACCAGAAAAATGGGAACTATTCTTTAAACCAGAAGGAATTGCTTATATAGGTGATGGAAGAACTAAGAAGCTAAACAGAATATTGAGGAAACCCAGAGATTATCAAAAGCAAAAAATACTAGTATTAGAGCTAAAAGATGCTGGAACCATGAGAGCAGGAGTCACAGTAGAGGAGCAGCCCCTGCTGGGGGGCCAGCTGAGGCAGGGGGAAAATACCTGGATTTCTCCCTTTGCTGCATCTCCAGTCACCTGCCAATATCTTCCTTTGGCTAGTCCCAGCCAGAAGCTACCATCACAGGAGGCTGGGAAACATAGCCTGCAAAGGTCAAACCCTCAGAAGGGGTTGCAGGAAAAACAACAGGAGAGGGTGAAAAATAATAGCAAGTAGGATGAGGACTGGCATAGCCATCGACCCAAAGAAGGTTATAATTATCTGTTTGCAATTTTGTTTCCCTAGTCAGTGTGCATCTTGAGGGAAGGGAACCCATTCACCTCTGTGTCCCCAGAGTCCATGATGTGTTCAGTGACTGTGAACTGCCCTGCCTGCAAGAGATTTTATACCTCCACATTACCACTAGCTTGCAGTGCCTCCTTGTGGGAAGAATACGTCTCCCCACTCCATTGACATCGAGTTTGATTATGTGACTTGCTTTGGCCAATGGATGTGGGCAGAAGTGATGTGATCCAAGTCCCAAGGAAGCTTTAAGAGGCTTTGTGTGGTTTAGCCATTCCAAACGGACCCCAGAGTAAGAAAATGCATGGAACAGAGTTGCAGCTGACTTGTAGCTGGTATGTAATGAGTGAGAAAGAAACCCTTATTCTCCTGACTCAGGCTGTGTGTTACCACAGCATAATCTAAAGAAATCTCACCAATATTGTGGCTGAGGGTGGAAATGTGAAGAGAAACTATGACAGGCTTTTGGGAAAACACCATTGGATGATATGAGAACATTAGGATTTTAAGTCAAAGTCTGAGTTTGAGTACGGGGCCTGCCATCTACTACTTACATGGCTTAGAAAAGTTACATAATCTTAGAGTGGGAAAATAAAGGCACAGAAGTGTGGCACAGCTCATTGTGTGCAAGAAAATGCAAGTGGTCTGGACTCAGCTTCTTCATCAAGAAAATCACTGGTTTACTGTACTGGTGATAATATACTATGTACTATACAGCAATACAGATACTGTATTACAATAGCTGATGATAATGCAGCCTTCTGTGCTAGAAGTGACAACAAAGGTCACAAGAGGATTTTCGTGAAAGCATATTGTGAATTTTAAGTCACTGTTAGTTATTATCAATGCCAACTAGGCCTTTCTTTCTCTGCAACCAGACTCAATGACACAAGGTTCCTTGGTTCATCTCAATCTAGAAAACACACACACACACACAGATTTATTGAGCACCTAAAATAAGCAAGGCAGTGTATGAGAGTCTGTGGGGTCTGAGTCATGAATGCGGAATTGGGTAAACTGAAATCACAGAATCAAAGTGGGATAGGGCCAAACAGATCTTCCTACTCAACTAATCCAAACTGCATGTTTTACAGATAGGTAAATACAGAGACCCAGAGACAGCAAATGCAATGCTCAAAGTCACATAGTAAAGTAGTAGCAGAAGCAGGATAAAACTCTGAATCTCCTAATTCCTAGTCTGGGCGTGCTTTTCCCACTACACTATGCTGGTATGTGTGTGTTTCAAAACTACATTTTGGGCTGGGCATGGTGGCTCAAGCCTGTAATCCCAGCACTTTGGGAGATCAAAGCTGGCAGATCACTTGAGCCCAGCAGTTTGAGACCAGCCTGGGCCACACAGTGAAACCCCGTCTCTACCAAAAAAGCAAGCAAACAAACAAGAAACATAAAAGTTAGCTGGGCATGGTGGTGCATGCCTGTAATCCCAGCTATTTGGGATCAGGAGACTGAGGCAGGAAGATTGCTTGAGTCCCGTAGGTGAAGGTTGCAGTGAGCCAAGATTGTGTCACTGCACTCCAGCCTGGATGACAGAGCAAGATCTTGCCTCAAAACAAAATAAAACAAAAAACTACATTGTGGATGGTCTCTCCTTCCTTTGTAGGCAGAAGCATATTTCCCTTTTACTAGCCTCCCTGGGTTCTGGTCAGATCTCCAGTCAGATCCAGGAAAGGGACAAGAAGCCCCTTTCCGAGGAGCACATGGAGGCAGAACCCTAAAAGGTCATGCTTCTTGAAATAAAAGTCCCTAAAACTCCTCTACTGTTCCAAACACCCACCTGCCTCAGCATCTATATGATCTCAACCAAGTCCCAGGAACTTTGAGGATATGGAAGGCCAATCACAACACACAGCTTTTTTTTTTCTTTTTTTAGATGGAGTTTTGCTCTTGTTGCCCAGGCTGGAGTGCAATGGTGCGATCTCTGCTCACCGCAACCTCCGCCTCCCCGGTTCAGGCGATTCTCCTGCCTCAGCCTCTCGAGTAGCTGGGATTACAGGCATGCACCACCACGCCTGGCTAATTTTTGTATTTTTAGTAGAGATGAGGTTTCTCCATGTTGGTCAGGCTGGTCTCGAACTCCCGACCTCAGGTGATCCACCTGCCTCGGCCTCCCAGAGTGCTGGGATTACAGGCGTGAGCCACCAAGCCCAGCCTCACAGCTTTAATAAACACGAATTGTTGGCCATATCAATAGTCTTGACTGAGAGAGCTGAGAAAAGCTACAAGAAAGGGAATCCTGAGGAGGGATCCCATAAAGCAGAGAATGGCATTACTGCACTGGCAAAGATACCACTGAAACTGACTTAATACCTGAGACAGCAGAGGGGTAGTCACTGGGTGAGGGTGAGGAAGGCTGAACATCCCCCTTCACTGTTCCCAGATCTGATCATATCCTTGCAAAATTCTTAACGTGGTCTACAAGATCCTGCATCATCTGATCTCTCCCCATCTGTCCATCCTCATCTCATGCTACTCTCCCTTGATTATTTAGTCCCTGTGCCATGGCCTTCTTTCAATTTCATGAATATTTCATGCTTTAACCCACATTGGGACTATTCTGGATGTGGAATATGCCCCTCCCTACACTCTACTCTTTGCCTGGCTAGCCTTTTCTCATCCTTTTGTTCTCACCTTAAGTGTTACTTTCTCAGAAAACCTTAACTCTCCAGCCTAAAATTAGGTTTCTCTCTTGCACTTCTTCATAGCACTTGTGGTGGACTTATGTTAACTTCTATCTGCCCCCTTCATTCCCTCCTTTAGGAAACCACCATTTTAAACAGTTATATTGGGACTATGTTGCCATACTTGCCTCCCCCAGCCACTGGGATGGGCACATGACTCACAGGTGACCAATCATAGTATTCTCTGGGATTGATTCATAGTGGTTGGGAGAGAGAAGGTCTCTTTTTGCAGGAATTGGGAAGCCATGAATCTGCCATCATCCCTCTAACTCCCCACGCAGAGAGTCTGGCTATAGAAAGAGGCTGAGGGGATAAGTAAAGCTGAGAAATGGAGAGTGCAATTGAGCCCTGGGTCTTGTGGACTTCCCAGTTACAGGAGCTAATACATTCTCTCCCTTTTTTTTTCTTTTTGAGATGGAGTCTTGCTCTGTCACCCAGGCTGGAGTGCAGTGGGGCAATCTCAGCTCACTGTAACCTCTGCCTCTTGGATTCAAAGGATTCTCCTGCTTCAGCCTCCCGAGTAGCTGGGACTACATGCTCGGCTAATTTTTGTATTTTTAGTAGAGATGGGGTTTCACCATGTTGACCAGGTTGGTATCAAACCAGGCTGACCTCAAGTGATCCACCCACCTCAGCCTCCCAAAGTGCTGGGATTACAAGTGTGAGCCACTGCGCCCAGCCAATTCTATTTTTTTTATTAAAGCTAGTTTGATTTGCAATTTTATCACTTGCAATAACAAGAGTCCTAACTCAAGTAGAACTTATCACAATTTTAACAGCTGTATTGAGCCATAATTCACATACCATACAATTCACCCATTTATTTGCACAATTTTTAATTAATATTTGTGTAAGTATTTATTTAATGTCTCTTTCCCCATTAGTTCCATGACAGTAAGGATTGCAGCTGTTTGTTCATCATTCATTATATCCTAAGTGCCAGGGCAGAACTTGGCTCAGCGTGCTCAATAAATGTTTTTCACTGAATAAGTAAAATGTATTAATGAATATCTACCCTATGCTGGGTCCTTAGGATAATGAAACAAATCAGACACAATCCATGCAGTAGAAGCCTAGGAGGAGAGATAAACATGTAAATAGGCAAGTTCTGGTGATCAATAGCAGAAAGCTCAGGGAGTCGAGTTAGGCAGAGATGGGTTACTTTGACCTGCCCAAATCTAACCAATTCATTAAGGTCTTCTTCAAGTGCCTTCCTAAAAACATGGCACTAAGATTTAATCTCAGGTGTTCTATCTGTGTTCCTAAATAAATTTGATAGGTTTATACTGAGTCCACCACTTGCTAATGGTATAGCTTGAGCAAGTTATTTAACCTCTCTGAACCTCATTTTTGAGAGTATTGGACATGCTCTATAGTACCTAGCTTGAAGGTTTATAAAGAGACTTAAATGAGATAATTAATGCTAAACATTTCACATAGTGCCTTGTTCAATATATATCAGCTATGATTACCACATTTGCTGTGTAGTAAAGTTAAGTGGTTAGGAGCACAGGCTCTGGGAGCCAGACTACCACCTGAGTTGAAATACTGGTTCTACCCTCTTACTAGCTGTGTGACTTTGGCAAGTTACTCAACTTCTCTGTGCCTCACTTTTCTCATCTGTTAAAAAAAACACACACACACAAAATGTGGAGATAAGGAAAGAACATATCTTGGAGGGTTTTAGAGGGATTAAATTAGATGCATAATACTTTGAAACACTTAGAATAAATAGTGCCTGACACATGGTAAGCACCTAATAAATGTTTAACCAATTCACCTTTAAAAAATCTTAGAATGGCCATACAAGGTGGCTCATGCCTATAATCCCAGCACTTTGGGAGGCTGAGGTGGGCAGATCACCTGAGGTCAGGAGTTCGAGACCAGCCTGGCCAACATGATGAAACCCCGTCTCTACTGAAAATACAAAAAATTAGCCAGGCATGGTGGTGGGTGCCTATAATCCCAGCTACTCAGGAAGCTGAGGCAGGAGAATCACTTGAACCCGGGAGGCAGAGGTTGCAGTAAGCCGAGATCGCCCCACTGCACTCCAGCCTGGGTGACAAGAGTGAAACTCCATCTCAAAAAAAAAAATCTTAGTGAGAAGGGCTTGGCATGCTGGTATATTTTTTTCTAATACATATCCAAATATGTATTAGAAAATAAATACAGAAAATCATCCTGCACAATTCCAGTGGCGTGAGTCCCCTCTTTGGGCAACACTACTCCAGACTCACACCATCCAGTGATTTATGGTTCCCTGACCCACAAGGCAGCTCCTTGCCTCTGCCAGGGTTATGCCCCTGCCTGGAATGCCCTTAACTTTCTTCTTCACTGGACTGGTCCTACTTATCTTCAAGACTCCACTTGGGCATCATGTTCTCTGATCCCAGGAGAATGACGTTCCTCCTCTATGCTCCCCCAACATCCCTCTGTCACAGCCCTGACCAATTGGACTATGACTGTTACTGTAGGCTTTCTCACTGGATCGAGCTTATTCAGACCAGGAAATGTAGCCTATTTCACAGCTCAGGGCCTAGAACAGAGTAGGCACTCAGGAAGTCTTCACTGGACAATAAAATGAAGTACCCAAATACTTAACATCATAAAATTAACCAAAACATATTTTTGCATCCTCCGTGCCCGGCCATATGCTAGGCACAGTAGGCACAAAGACAAACAAGATTCATTTCCTGTCTGCAGGGAACTTTCGGGAGACAGACAAGTAAATGAGTGCATCCAACTGTGATGGGTACTGTGACTCTTTTACGTATGGGGTGCATTGAGAGAACAAATAAAGAGCTCTGGCAGGGGGCTGGGAAAGGTTTCATAGAAGATGTGAAGTGTAAGCTGTTTTGAAAGCTGAGTGGGGTCTCACCAGCTGGATGAGGGTAGAAGATGGGGAGTAGAAGAGAGCATTCCAAGCAGATGAAATATAGTCAGTCCAGGGAGAGTGCTGGGAGCCTCCAGGGAGACTACAGGTTGAAAGCCTAAAGGGACCGTCTAAAGTTCACCAGGTGTGGGCTTCATCACTTGCTTATTGGTCAATGGACCACATGGAGGCACTTTCTGGACTCTGAGAACCTCTGTGATAGTGTAGAGACAGCAAGGCCCAAGATGACCCAACCTCCCTGTTTATTAAGCACTTATAGTTTGCTACAGTTTACAGGACACCTTGGGGAGAAAAAAGTATACAACACACACACACCCACATACTCATAATACAAATATATAAAACACACAATTCACACTTGTATTTTATACAGATTACCCACCTATAAGCCCAAATATCTGTTCTTCAGAAACTGTCAGAGACTTTAAACTCTCCACTCCTCAATACTTACAACACTAAGGATGTGAGATATACTTAGGGAGACTGTCTAAAAGCTAAGCAGTACATCTATTCTAGAGGAAGATTTCAAACTTTCAAACCTACAGGCATGGAACTCTTTTTGTAAGGCAACCTTACCCTGGACCCCAATACATAAAATAAAAGCTCTTCTTTTAAGCAAAGGTAGGTAGAGTTCTGCTTTGGGGCCACTGAGACATGCCTGGGCACCTAGGCCTCAAAGGAGCACAAGGATCAAAATATGTTAAGCTTGGAAAAAGTCAGGACACCGATGAGCTACATACTCAAACCACATAGTTTTGTTCCTTCATACTATTACTTTTGTTGTGAATTGTGTTTTGGTGAGAAGCATGAATTTGCATTGAGATAAACTGTAAGAACAGCATATAAATACTCAGTGCTGGAAGGATGTTTGATATTCAAGACATGGTCACATTCAGCATACAGAGTCTGCTCTACAGTTGATGATGAAGAGTAGTGCTTCTCTGGAATAATGGGTTTGTTTTTATACTAGGACACTCTAAACCATGTAGCTGATTATGTTTCCCTCTTGGCAAAGGTTGCTAGGAAGCTCAAAGACAACATTTTGGCCCCAACTCTTGCAGGTGTCCAAGAACTTAATACTTACCCTAGCTTCCTCTTATTTTTCCCTCACCCTTGCTTTCCCTTTGCTCCAATTTTCTCACTTACTTATTTATTTTTATTGTTGTATTGTGACCATTTTTATAAGATATCTCAAGTCCTTTGTGGAAGGAACTGGTAAAAAAAAAGAGTTTATAAATTTAAAATTTATTTACACATTCAATATAACAAAATATATACATATCAAAAATGATGAATTATCTAAAACTCACAGCACAAAGCCCATATGTACCTCATACAAATATAAAACAATACACACAGATCACATAGGTACATAATTCACAATCACAACACTAATGTCATAAATACAAACACACTCGTACCCTGTTTACCCCACTCTCATGAGCATGTGTACAAATGCACACATGCACATACATGTGTCATGTACATACCAAGCTGCTCTGCAAGGAGCTGGCCCTTCTCAGTGGGAACAACCCTCTCTTCCTCCATGTCACACTTGTTCCCCACCAGAATAACTTGTGCATTGTCCCAGGAGTAGGTCTTGATCTGAGTAGCCCTAAAATGAGATAGAAAGAGATATGTTAATCATATTCCTATAGACTGAATGTCTGTGTCCCCACCTCCAAATTTACATGTTGAAGCCTAATCCCCAATGTAATGGTATTTGGAGGTGGAGTCTTCGGGATGTAATTATGTCAATGAGGCTAGAGTCCTAATAAATGTGTCCATATAAGAAGAGAAAGAGGCTAGAGCCCTCTTTCTCTCTTGGCCATGGGAGGATACAACAAGAAGCTGGCTGTCTCCAGATACTGGAGCTGCTGGCACCTTGATCTTGGACTTCCTAGCTCCAGAACTGTGAGAAAGAAATGTCCGTTATTTAAGCTACCAAGTCTATAGTATTCTTGTTATAGCAGCCCAAACTGACCAAGACACATACCCTCCTATGACAAAAAGAAAACTGTGAAGTGTGAAGAAATGGTTTCTCTTCCACAGGACTAGCAACATCCAAGTTATTGCCAATTAATTCAGCTGAGGACAGACAGATACCTGTCCCTGCTGGCTGTCACAGATGCTGACTCCTAAGCCCTAGCTGCAAACCTCATCCATCTTTTTGAAGTCCACCTCTACCATATCTGGCCATCCCTCTCCTCACTGGGCAGAGAGGTCTTTCTAAAACAGGTATTTGATCACAATGAATCTTTTCTTAAAAGCCTTCTCTGGCCCCCAGCTAGCTATGTGATCAAGTCCAGATTCCTCAGTTCAAGATCACTCATGCTGTGTCTCTCCAGCCTCATTACCCATTCTCCTGCCTCCCTAACCTTTTTACTCATTCCCCAAAAGCTCTTCCATGGCTTGTGCTTTTGCCTACACTGGGAAGTCCTTCCCCACAACTAACTCATCCTCCAGGGCCCAGTGCTGATCCCACAACACCTTGAGGGGAGCCTCTTCAAGCTTCTCCTAGATCCACTTAGCCTCCACCTCCTCCTATGTGATTCATAAACCTTCCCTGAAGCCTCGGATTATGATTATTTGCAGGAACCAAAATGTCAGCAGTGGTTACCTTCATATAAGATGATTATAAGACTTTTAAAAAATACTTTTTGGCCGGGTGCGCTGGCCCACGCCTGTAATCCCAGCACTTTGTGAGGCCGAGGTGGGCGGACCACGAGGTCAGGAGATCGAGACCATCCTAGCTAACA
The DNA here is from genome assembly GCF_000001405.40 of Homo sapiens. Taxonomy (NCBI): domain Eukaryota; kingdom Metazoa; phylum Chordata; class Mammalia; order Primates; family Hominidae; genus Homo; species Homo sapiens. The sequence continues at coordinate 51,934,587 of NC_000001.11, forward strand.
TGGTGAAACCCCGTCTCCACTAAAAATTAAAAAAAAAAAATTAGCTGGGCATGGTGGCAGGCGTCTGTAGTCCCAGCTACTCAGGAAGCTGAGGCAGGAGAATGGCGTGAACCCGGGAGGTGGAGCTTGCAGTGAGCCAAGATCGCATCACTACACTCCAGCCTGGGTGACAGAGCGAGACTCCATCTCAAAAAAAAAAAAAAAAAAAAAAACCTTTTCAAATTTCTGTACTTTTCACATTTTTAAAAGTGAGCATGTATTACTTCTTTAATTAAAAACAAAATTTTAAGAGGAAATAAAAAAGGACTCTCTTATATTATGAAGACATCTTTTTGTGGAGATGGGCCTAACATTCCCCAAAGACCCCATCAGGTAGAAATGATTACTTCCTCTTTTGGTCTCCTGCACGTTCACCATGACACCTATTACACTTGGCTGAATTTGTCTCTCTCCCTGAGGGCAAGGACCGGCCTATTCATCTTTGGGATGCCAATACCCAGCACAGAACACACAGCGAAGAAGGTGTCAGTGAATGCTGATAAATGAACGAGCCAGTGAATGGTCAGTCCTGAAGCAGATCTTGAATCTGACTCTACCCTGACACTGACAACCTAACTCAACCCTAACTGCAACCTGAACCTACTACTGACCCTGCTCTTAAAGTTGATCTTACCACCAACCTTCTCATTTATGGTGAGAAGCCATTCCCTCAAAGGATGGAATTCACTCAACCACCACTTCTTGTGGGCCCACAGGAAACCAGGCCCCATTCTGGGCACTGGGGCTTGGATGGCAGGTAGGGGTGAGACTGAGACCAAGTTACCCACAGACAAAACTCAAAGGCCAGGGCTTGGGAGAGATAGACCCTCAGTCTTCAGACTCAAGGCAGGTAACTGGGGCCAGCTCTCCTTATCTCCCATGCTACTCTTTCTTTCATCTTCCTCCCTTCTCCCACCCCATTTCCTCTCAGCTCCCAGGTTAGCAACAAACTCAGGTTATTCTTGGAGGAATCGTCACCAGGTGTTAAAGTCACCGTGTTCCTGAGGCAGAATGAACAGAGACTGAGGGAGGAAGGGAAGGGGGTCAAGGCCAACAGGGAAATGGGCAGCGTGGAGACACTTCAGGGGAGATGTGATGAGAGAGAAGAGGAGGAGCAGGGAGAGGGGAGGAAGGGAGGAAAATGATGAGTGGAGAGAGTAAAGGGAAGGGGAAGAGAACAGAGGAAGGAGAGGAGAAAGACCCAAGGTAGAGGGAAGAAAGAGTTATTTAAAAGGAAGGGACAGAAAGGAGGAAGAAGAGGATAACCAGGAGGCAGAAAAGGAGAACACAGACCCCCAGGAATGACAGACATGCTGATGACACCCTGAACTGCTGGTCAGAACAGGGGAGTGCAGCAGGCAGCCCACAAGGTCACTCTCAGCTCAAGCTGTGTATGTGAAGCCAACACAATTATGACAACTGCTCCCTGGGAGAAGCGAAGTCCTCGAAGGTCACCATTAGGCAAAAGGGAGAAGGAGACAAGCCCAGCACTGGCCAGCACTGCTGCTGTGTGCCTGGTCTGCTCAGCCTCTCCGATTCTGAAGGACAGCCACCACACAGATGTCCCACCTTCCCCCATCCTCATCTGAGCAGGGACACTGGGTCCTGGCCCTCCCTCTCATGTGTCCTTCCCCTCAGGCTCCCTTCTCCTGGGAATCGTGCCCCAGGAAGAAAGCTATAAGTTGCTCAGAGGTTGCAACTCTGGGGTGCTGTACTGATTTCCATTGCATATTGAGCCTTGATGAACTTGGACTGTATGTGCTCCTGGACACCTGGCTCAGCCCAGGGATAAACTTTAAGTGCTATGTGGATTCACTCTCCACTGGAGCTACAGTAATCTTCCTGAAACACAAATGTGAACCTGTTGGTTTCTAATTCATACGTCATCACCTATGGGACAGAATCCAAACTCCTTATAGCAGCACACAAAACCCTTCATGACCTATGCCCTTCAACACTCGCACCTACCTTCTCACCTTTGCACATCTGTACTCATTTTCTGGAACATCCTTATTCATTTGTCCCTCGGGCTAACTCCTGTTCATCTTACAAAATGCAGCATATGTGTCAGCAACTCCAGGGCACTTTCTCTGACTCCCTAAACTGGGTCAGAGAGCCCTCTGCTGGGTTCCCACAGCCCTGATGCCTCGCTTCATCACTGCACCTAGCACACATTTTCTTTTCTTTTCTTTCTTTTTTTTTTTTTAAGATAGAGTCTCACTCTGTTGCCCAGGCTGGAGTGCAGTGGTGTGATCTCAGCTCACTGCAACCTCCGCCTCCCAGGTTCAAGCAATTCTCCTGCCTTAGCCTCCTGAGTAGCTGGGATTATAGGCACGTGCCACCACGCCTGGCTAATTTTTGTATTTTTAGTAGAGACGGGGTTTCACCATGTTGGCTAGGCTGGTCTCAAACTCCTGACCTCGGGTGATCTGGCTGCCTCGGCCTCCCAAAGTGCTGGGATTACAGGCGTGAGCCACTGCACCCGGCCTATCACATGATATTTTCATTCCTGCTTATGGATCTGTCTTCTGCTCTCGTCTGTAAACTCCTGAGGCCAGTAACCATGTCTGATTCATCTGGGCTTCCCCAGCACACAATACAGGACCTAGCACATGTTAGGTTTTAATGAACAGTTTGTTAAATGAATGAATGAATATGGGTCTCATACCAGTCTTGGACAGCATTGAAGGACTCTTCATTGGTGATGTCATACATCAGAATGAAGCCCATGGCCCCACGGTAATAGGCTGTTGTGATGGTCCGGTACCGCTCCTGCCCAGCTGTGTCCTGGGCAGGAAAAGAAAAGAAACAATCTCTTAGAAAGTCTGCTTTGGTTCCTAAAAAGTCCCCAGGACAATTAACTAATAACCCAAGACATTTTTTTTTTTTGAGATGGAGTTTTGCTCTTGTTGCCCAGGCTGGAGTGCCATGGCGCGATCTCAGCTCACTGCAACCTCTGCCTCCTAGGTTCAAGTGATTCTCCTGCCTCAGCTTCCCGAGTGGCTGGGATTACAAGCATGCACCACCATGCCCAGCTAATTTTGTATTTTTAGTAGAGACAGGGTTTCTCCATGTTGGTCAGGCAGGTCTCGAACTCCTGACCTCAGGTGATCCACCCGCCTCGGCCTCCCAAAGTGCTGGGATTACAGGAGTGAGCCACCGCGCCCAACCCAAGGCATATTTAAGGAGCATCTATTATGTGTCTTGTATTGTGCTTGCTGACTAGATTAAAATGATTTTTTAAATCTCATAGAATTTAATAAGAATAATTAAAATCCTAAAGGAAAAGTGGACAAGAGGCATGAACAAGCACATAAGAAATGTTGAGTGGGTAATTATTACATAAAAAGTTTTAACCTTATTTTTGTTTCTTTTTTTTTTTTTTTTTTTTTTTTAAGACAAAGCCTTACTCTGTTGCCCAGGCTGAGAGCCCTGGCACAATCATAGCTCACTGCAAGTTTGAATTTCTGGGCTGAAGCAATGCTCCCACCTCAGTCTCCGAGTAGCTGGGATTAAGGTTTTGTGCCACTGTGCCCAGCCCCTTATTTTTAATAATAATTCCCATGATTGATAAGCATGCAGTGAAATATACAAATTCACATCTTGCTTGTGGGAGTGGAACTTGGTTTAGCCTTTCTGGGAATCAATTTGGAAGTCTTAAGAGCATTAAAAATGTTCATACTCTTTGACCCAGAAATATTCCTTCTGGGAATTTTTCCCACAAAATTAGAAAAATTTTCCCTATAAAAATAGAAAATCAGACAAATATGTATGTACAAAAACACATTTGTTAAAACTTTATCTAGACAGTGAAAACATATCATCAACTTATATATTCAACAATAGGAGAATGGTTAAAATGTAAGAATTTTTATGTAAGTTCATGTATGTAAGAATATTTAACGATATGAGACAATACTTGTATGTGTGATGTATTAGTTTTATAACTATATGTGCACAGAAAAAAATAGAAGAAACACATCAAAAGGTTAATAGAGATTTTCTCTGAATAAGAGACAAGAATTACTGAGATTTTGATTTTCTTCATGTAATTTTTTTTTTTTTTTTGAGACAGGGTCTCACTGTGTGGCCCAGGCTGGAGTGCAGTGGAGCAATCTTGGCTCACTGCAATCTCCACCCCCTGGGCTCAAGTGATCCTCCCACCTCAGCCTCCTGAGTAGCACACCACCACACCCGGCTAATTTTTGTATTTTTAGTACAGATGACGTTTTACCATGTTGCCCAGGCTGGTCTCAAACTCCAGAGCTCAAGCAATCCACCCACCTTAGCCTCCCAAAGTGCTAGGATTACAGGTGTGAACCACTGTGCCCAGACTTCTTCATGTATTTTTATTATCTCTACAATGAGCACATATTACTCTTATGTAAGGAGAAATAAACATTTTTTCAAAAAATGACTTTAAGACAATTCTTAATCACAAGTAGCTCATAGTCTAGTTGGAAAGACAAACACGTAAGCAAGCAACAAAGACAAGACCAACAGCAAAGGGTTATCAGGGCACATTGGGATGCTTCCAAATTTTCCACACAGTCCTCGTGTGAGGGACCAGCCAATCTTCTCTATATCATTACAGTCTCAGAATGTGTGATGCTTAAGCATATATAAAACATGTCCTCATATATTACCTCATTTAAATTCTATGAGATTCCAGTGAGGTAGGTGTCATTATTATTTACACTTTATAGTTGAGAATGCAAAAATTGCAGAAAGGGCAAGTGACTTTCCCAAGGTCAAGGTCATAAAGCTGGTGACAAAAAGGTAGGCCTTAAATCTGGGACTTTTTTTTTTTAAGAGACAGGGTCTCACTCTGTCACTCAAGCTAGAGAGCAGTGGCACAATCATCATAGCTCACTGCAGCCTTGAACTCCTAGGCTCAAGTGATCCTCCCACCTCAGCCTGCAGAATAGCTAGGACTACAGGCGCTCGCCAGTGTACCCAGCTTTTTTTGTTTTGAGACAGGATGTCACGCTGTCATCCAGTCCTGAGTGCATGATCACAGCTCACTGCAGCCTCAAATTCCCAGGCTCAAGTGATCCTCCCACCTCAGCCTCTCAAGTAACTGGGACCACAGGCATGTGCCACCATGCCTGGCTAATTTTTTTTACTTTTGTAGAGACAAGGTCTTACTATGTAGCCATGGCTGGTCTGGAACACCTGAACTCAAGTGATCCTCCTGCCTCAGCCTCCCAAAGTGCTGGGATTAAAGGCATGAGCCTGTAAAGCCCAGCCAAATCCAGGACTTCTGATTCCATGTCTAATGCAGGTACCACCACAACTCCATCAATGAAAGATTGATTTATTCACAAGCATCTACTGAACACCATCTATAGTTATAATAAAAATAAATAAGGAGAAAAATAATTTCAGTATGCCACTATTTTTATACAGGTTGCACCTGTTATCCACAAATACTAGAAAACCCTGGAGAATATATGTTGTTACTCTCATCTTACAGGTGAGGAAACTAAGATTCATTCAGAACTAATCTGTCTCTCTCCTGCACCCATTACAACATATTGCCTTAGCCATGAACTATACTTAGTGTGATAATAACATAGAACAACCACCACCCCTGCCCTCAGGAAACCTCAATAGAGTTGTGAAGGTGGCTAAGATATAACAGCAAATTGATAATTAGCAATATGAGGTAATATGTCATCAGCACCAGATAAGTGGTATAAAAAAAAATGAGTTGGCTGGGCATGGTGGCTCATGCCTGTAATCCCAGCACTCTGGGAGGCCAAGGTAGGTAGATCATTTGAAGTCAGGAGTTTGAGGCCAGCCTGGCCAATATGGTGAAATCCTGTCTGTATTAAAAATACAAAAGTTAGCCAGGTGTAGTGGTGTACACCTGTAATCCCAGCTACTTGGGAGGCTGAGGCACGAGAATCACTTGAACCCAGGAGGCAGGGTCGCAGGGAGCTGAGATGGCATCATCGCATTCCAGCCTGGGTGAAAGAGTGAGACTGTCTCAAAAGGAAAAAAAAAAAGAGTCACACAAGTTCAGGTAAAGTAGAAACATGGTGGTTTGGGGTAGTTATGGAAGATGTCAAAGTGGAGATAATATATCCTTTAGGATAGGCTGGGTTCTTCAGGAACAAGCAATCCCAAATGTCAGTAGCTTAAACAACAAGGTTTTATTTTTTATTATTATTACATATCCATTAAGGACTGGCTGGGTGCTCTGCTTTTTGTCATCTTTATTCCAGGATAAAGACTGACAGAGCAACTACCAGAGGGGAAAAAAGTATGTGAGTCATGTATTGGCTCTTAAAACTTCCACTTTTCCCATTTCACTGGCCAAAGCAAGTCACAAACCCACACCCAACTTTCAAGGGGTAAGAAAGTGCAATACTATCATATGCTGAGGAGGAAAACTGGGACTATATGGTAGAAGGCATAATGATTCCCATGGGTGGAATCTGCACCGAGCCCAGGAGCATCACATGAAAGTGTGCTTATTTGGCAATATAAGGAGAACTTTTCTAAAGAAGAATTTTCCTTTTCCAAGCAGAAAAGTAAAGGAGTGGTATTTTGGCAGAAGGGAGAGTTTTTGACAGTGAGTACTCCTGAAGAACTTCAGGAACGGTAGGGGATGGGACATAGGTAGGTGATGAAGCTAGAAAGAGCTCTGAATACTATGCTATGGGGTATGGACTTGATTTTTTAAGATCAAAGATTTTGAGCCAAGGGATTAACGTAATTAGATCTGAGATTTAGAAAGATCACTCTAACAATGGTGTAGAGAATGGACTGGAAGGAGAAGAGATAGGAGGCAGGAAGGCTGGTTAGAAGATCTTTGCAGTAGTACAGGTCAGACTAAATAAGAATCTGAGCTAGAGTGGTAACAACAGGCATAGAGTAAGAACAGATTCATTGAGGTATTTAAGAGGTAAAATTATAGGGAATGGTGATAGATTAGATGTGAAGAGAAGAAAAACAAAGATAGCAGTTGTTTCTGTCAGGGCTTGGCTTCTCCATGTCCTCAGCAATTCAGCTCTGGCCCAGACTTGCATAACCTTACTCCATAAAACAAAACCTGCATCTAACATACTCACCCTCCTTGGAGAGCATATGAATCACCATCTTCTTTTCATTGAGCAATGTCTTTAAGCATCTTACTCTCCACCTCAATCAGCTTATCAAAGTATTCCTTCTGACCACATACAGCAGTTCTCCCTATGAGTTCTGGAAGATATTTTCTCCAGCTCATGAGTGAGTGGGAGGATAAATGAATAGATGAATGGATAAATGAGTGAATGAATAAATGAGGTTCTGAACATTTAACACTGGAAATCTTAGACATTATTGAGAGAAATCTGCCATATCCACATCAAAGCTCTGTGTGTTTGTGACTAAGAAACATTGACGCAGTATTTGATCCACTCCTCCTATGCCCTTGCCTCTGCTTCCTGAGCTCCTCAGAGCCAACTCCAAAGAATAGACCTCCCACTGATCTGTAGCTTCAGTCCCTAAATCCTGTCCTGCAGGATTTGGAATTAAGCCACTCTTCCTGGTCTAGAAGCCCAGGCAGGATTTCTGAGCGCCTGCACTGCCATCAGGCCTGAGCTCTCCTCAGTCTCCCTAAACTATGCCCTGTTATTCTGTGAGAGTGTCGAGTCTTCCATCTCTGCCTGGAGCCTAGCCCTGTGCCCAAGCTCTCCAAGAGTCTTGTCACCCAACTGAATCCCAACTAATTAGAAATTCTGGTATATACCCCATAAATGAGTTTGGACATGGAGTCAGTTTTATCTCAGTACTACCAGTACGTAGCACAGGGCTGTGCACACAGTAGCAATTTAACCACTGTTTGTTAAACAAAAAGGCCATATAGTCTTGAGGTTAAGACTGTGATCTTTGGAGTTAGGCTTCTGGGTGTGAATCCCTATTCTACCACTTACTCACTATGTGACTATAGTACACAGCCTCTAAAATGGCTTCTAAAATGTCTCCTGATATTCATGCTTTTGTGTAATCCTCTCTTTGGGCAACTTACCTATTGGAGCCTTAGTTTCTTTATCTATGAAGCGGGAATAATAATAATACTTCATTTTATTGCACTTCAACTTATTACACTTTGCAGATATTGCATTTTTTACAGATTGAATGTTTGTGGTGACCCTATCTCAAGCAGGTCTATCAGAGCTATTTTTCCAACAGTATGTGCTCACTTCATGTCTCTGTGTCACATTTTGGTATTTCTCACAATATTTCAAGTCTTTTCATTATTATTATATCTGTCATGTTTATCTGTGATCAGTGATCTTTGATGTTACTATTGTAATTGCTTTGGGGTGCCATGAACCACACCCATATTAAGGCAGTGAACTTAATGTTGTGTGTGTTCTGAATGCTCCACCAACCAGCCATTCCCCCATCTCTCCCTCTCTTCAGGACTCCCTATGCCTTGAGACACAACAGTATTAAAATTAGGCCAATTAATAACCCTACAATGGGCCCAGCGTGGTGGCTCATGCCTGTAATCATAGCACTTTGGGAGGCCGAGGCAGGTGGACCACTTGAGGTCAGGAGGTTGAGACCAGCCTGGTCAACATGGCGAAATCCTGTCTCTACTAAAAATACAAAAATTAGCCAGGCATGGTGGCAGATGCCTATAATCCCAGTTACTCAGGAGGCTGAGGCAGGAGAATCACTTGAACCCAGGAGGCGGAGGCTGCAGTGAGTCAAGATCACACCACTGCACTCCAGCCTGGGTGACAGAGCAAGACTCCATCTCAAAATAATAATAACAACAACAACAACAACAACAACAACAACACCACAATGGCCTCTAAGTGTTCAAGTGAAAGGATGAGTTACACATCTCTTGCTTTAAATCAAAAGCTAGAAATAATTAAGCTTAGTGAGGAAGGCATGCCAAGAACTGAGATGGGCCGAAAGCTAGGCCTCTTGTACCAAACGTTAGCCAAATTGTAAATGCAAATGTAAATTTATTGAAGGAAATTAAGAGTGCTACTCTTGCGAACACATAAGTGATAAGAAAGCAAAACAACCTTATTGGCAATATGTAGAAAGTTTTAGTGGTTTCTGGATAGAAGATCAAACTAGCCACAATCTTTCCTTAAGCCAAAGCCTAATTCAGAGCAAGGCCTTAACTCTCTTCAATTCTATGAAGGCTGAGAGAGGTGAAGGAACTGCAGAAGAAAAGTCTGAAGCTAGCGGAGGTTGGTTCATGAAGTTTAAGGAAATAAGCTATTTTCATAACCTAAAAGTGCAAGGTGAAGCAGCAAATGCTGATGTAGAAGCTGCAGCAAGGTTATCCAGAAGACCTGCTAAGATCATTGATTAGGGTGGCTACATTAAATAAGTGATTTTCAATGTAGACAAAACAGCACTGGAAGAATATGCCATCTAGGACTTTCATAGCTAGAGAGAAGTCAATGCCTGACTTCAAAGCTTAAAGAACAGGCTGACTTTCTCGTTAGGGGTTAATGCAGCTGGTGACTTTAATTTGAAGTCAATGCTAACTGACCATTCTGAAAATCCAAGGGCCCCTCAAAACTATGCTAAATCTACCCTGCCTGTGCTCTAGAAATCGAACAACTAAGCCTGGATGACAACACATCTGTTTACAATATGGTTTACTGAATAATTTAAGCCCATTGTTGAAACCCACTCTCAGGAAAAAATATTCCTTTCATAATATTCCTGCTTATTGACAATGTGCCTGGTCACCCAAGATATCTGATGGAGATATACAAGGAGATTAATGTCTTCATGCCTGCTAACACAACATCCATTCTGCAGCCCATGGATCAAGGAGTAATTTTGACTTTCAAGGCTTATTTGGACCTGGGCAAAGTAAATTGAAAACTTTCTGGAAGGAATTCACCATTCTACCATTAAGAATATTCGTGATTCATGGGAGGAGATAAAAATATGAACATTAATAGCAGTTTGAAATAAATTGATTCCAAACTTTGGAATTATGGATGACTTTATGGGGTTCAAGACGTCAGTGGATGAAGTAACTGCAGATCTAAGATCTTGTGGAAATAGCAGGAGAACTAGGATTAGAAGTGAGACCTGAAGATGTGACTGAATTGTGGCAATCTCATGATAAAACTTGAACGGATGCAGTTGCTTCTTACAGATGAGCGAAGAAAATGGTTTCTTGAGATGGAGTCTACTCTGGTGAAGATGCTGTGAACATCCTTGAAATGACAACAAAGGATTTAGAATATGACATAAACATAGTTGGATAAAGCAGTAGCAAGGTTTGAGAGGACTGACTCAAATTTTTAAAGAAGTTCTACTATGGGTAAAATGCTATCAAACAGCATCACCATGCAACAGAGAAATCTTTCATGAAAAGAAGAATCAATCGATGCAGCAAACTTCACTGTTGCCCTATTTTCAGAAATTGCCACAGCCACCCCAGTCTTCAGCAACCACCAACCTGATCAGTCAGCACCCATGAACATCAAGGCAAGACCCTCCACTGGCAAAAAGATTAACACTCACTGAAGGCTCAGATGATTGTTAGCATTTTTTAGCAATAAAGTATTTTGTTGGTTTGTTTGAAACAGGGTCTCACTCTGTTGCCCAGGCTGGAGTGCAGTGGCGAGATCATAGCTTACTGCAGCCTCAACCTCCTGGGCTCCAGTGATCCTCCCACCTCAGCCTCCCAAAGTGCTAGGATTACAGGCCTGAGCCACCATATCTGGCCTAAAGTATTTTTTAATTAATGTATGTAAATTGTTTTAGGCATAATATTACTACACATTTAATAGACTACTACAGTATAAACGTGGCTTTTATATGCACTGGGAAACCAAAAAATTCATGTTACTTGCTTTATTGCAATATTTACTTTATTATGGTGATCTGGAACTGAACCTGCAACATATCCGAGGTATGCCTGTACCTACCTCAGAGTTTTGTGAGGATTAATAATGTTATTATATGCGAAATGCTTAGAACAGTTCCTGCTGTGTAGTAAATACCACATAGGCATCAGCTATTGTTTTTGCACTTCCAAAGGCAGTTCCAGGAGCAGGGCCAGCTTCCCAGGGTCTGCCCTGCTAGAGTGGATGGGTCTCATGCTATATGTGTCATTTCCCATTCCATTCAAACCTACCCAGGGCTGCCTCCAGCCAGAGTGTCAATATAATGTTTCCCTTAAAGAGTAGCAACATGACCTGTTAGAAAGAGAATGGGTGAACTTAAGAGTTGAGCAGGCCTTGGCCTAACTCCCAGCTCTGCCATTCATCAGCAATGTGATTTTGGACTAGTTGGTTATTTTATCTCTCTGAGGTTCAGTTTCCTCACATCTGGAATGGAAATAAAAATGCCTACTTGGTAGGGTTTTCATAATATGATATTTTTTAAGTGTCTGGCTTATAATAGGTATCCAAATATAGAAGTATTTATTATTTAACTTTTAAATTAATTTTTTTAAGTAATTGAGCCTTAGTTTCCTCAACTGTGAGGTGGTGATAATAATATTATACTTTGAAGTGACTGTGTGAGAATGACAGATAATGTAGGGGTAGAGCCTAGCAGAGCACTGGCCACATGGTAGGTGCTCAATAAAGCTCATAGTAAGTGCTGCTATTACTGTTGATATTGTTGACATTTTTATTTCACTTAAAGAAAAGCGAGGTTGGAAACACAACACTCCAGCTCTCACTATCCTGTGCTCTATGGAAAGCAGCCCAGAGAATCACTCCTGAATCTCTCCCTTTTATTTTTAAAAATCACACTGAGGAACATTGATTCTCCTCCTACTGATGAGAGTCAGAAATAGAATCACAGAGGAGATGGGAAGGAGGAGAAAGAAAGAGGAGTGACTCACTGGCTACTTGAGGAAGGAGACCATGTCATCAAGAGAAATCAGTTCACTTCTACACAACAGACATTCATTGAGCTCTTCATATGGGCAGAGGATTATGCCAGAGAACAGACACGAGAGTGAGCACCACTGCTCTAGTCTCCCATAGCCTGCTCAGTGTGGCAGACAGACATGTGGGCAAGACAGAAGGGGACTAATGTTTACTGAACACCCACTATGTTCTGAGCACTTTGGTAAGTGCTTTATATATGAGACCCATTACATTATTTGTGGTAACAAAATAACACTGTTAGTTGAGCATTACTACATGCCAGGCACATGTTAGTAGGCACCTTTCTTATTTTATTTTATTTTCAAAAAACCCTTCTGAAATACTACTATCTCTATTTACAGATGAGGTAAAGTTTTAAATAACTTGCCTAAGATCTTGCAGTCAGTTCATTTCAGACTGAGATTCAAACCTGGTCTGTCTGATTCCAAAGCTTGTGCTGTTTCCAGGATGCCGTTTACGTCATTTCTCTTAATTGTTATATCAGCTTGAAGGAGGACAAGTTTGAGTCCCCAGTTGATATATGAATTAACTGAGGCTCATGGAAGTTAAGTAAATTGCTAGGGTCACAAACAATAAGGAGGCAGACAGAATCCAAATTCTGGCCAGGCACGGTGGCTCATGCCAGTAATCCCAGCACTTTGGGAGGCCGAGGCAGACGGATCATTTGAGCTCAGGAATTCAAGACCAGCCTGGGCAATATGGTGAAACCTTGTCTCTTCAAAAAATACAAAAATTAGCTGGGCATGGTGGCATGCTCCTGTAGTCCCAGCTAGTTGGGAGGCTAATGTGGGAGGATCACTTGAGGCCAGGAGGTGGAGGTTGCAGTGAGCTGAGATTGCACACTGCACATCAGCCTGGGTGACAGAGTGGGACCTTGCCTCAAAAAAAAAAAAAAATTCAAATTCTGTCTTGACCAAAGCCTGTGCATTTTCAACACAGCCTAAAGTCCAACCTGATTTGTATTCTTGATTCTCTTTAGCCCCCAAGATCCTCTGCAGCCTCCCAATACAGGAAGTCCTCTAACCATGTCTAAGGCTTCCAGGGACCAACAATCTCCCCTCCACCAGAGCATAAGATTGGAAATCACCTAGAAAGCTTAAATGAAATCACATGTGATCCAACACACACTCTTCATTTCTTCGTAAAGTTTTCCACACGGTCGTCACACATGCCACATTCATTTCTGCTCTATATCTCTGTTCATGCTACTCTCTGCCACAATACACCCTCTCCCAGCTTCTCTGCTTGTCTTGACCATCAGATTTTTGGATTTTAGGGTTAAAAGGAAACCTTAGAAGTCATTCAATCCATCCTCTCACTTAAAATAGGAATTCCTTCCACAACATCCTTGTATTGAGTGCTTCCAACTTGGACACCCACCCCCTCACAAAGCAGCCATTCCACTGATGGACAGTTCTGATTATTAGAACATTTCTTCCTTTCGTTGAGCTGAAATCTACATACAGTAATTTCTACCCACTGATTTAATACTGTTCTCTGGAGACACAAAGAATAAATCTAATTCTTTACTCATGTGGCAGCCCTCCAAATATTCAAATCCTTACACTTCCTTAACTCTTACAGTTTACAATGTTTTTTTCTTATTATCTCAGTTTATTCCCTGAGAAACCCTGTGAGAGAAGGACCAATATCTCTGTTCTATAAAAACGGCAACTTAGGCTTGAAGAGGTGAATGACAGGAAATCATGAAAACGGGCTTAAATAAAACCAGGTCTTCTGTCTCCCAACAGACCATCCTCTTTCACAAGGCTACTTCACTGATTTAAATCTCTTGTCACAGGGGCCTTGACTATTAGCAGAACAGCCAGAGAAGAGTGAAGGGAACTTGAAACCAGGTGAAGGAAGATGTTTAGCCATTGAGGGGATAGTACTGCTATCTTCAACTATTTAAAGTGCCTAAAGGCACTTCTCTTTTCCTTTCTTTCAAATCTTCACTTGGTACTGATTCTGTGCCAAGCATTGGTTAGGTCCTGAAGACAAACAGATGAATACAAGCCGGTACTTGCTTAAAGTCTACAGTGTCTGTTACCATAGGAGGTAAACATGTATTGGGTGGGGGTTCTGAAGCGGAAGAGGCCCATTCCCAGAGAGCCTTCCTAGTGCCCTTCCCTGAGGTAATGCTCTCTCTTCAGAGCTCAGCTCAGCAAAGAAGCTGACCATCCTGGAAAAGTCACATGCTCCAATTATATGCTTTCCTGGCACCATGAGCTTCTCCTTTGTACCACTCACTCCCACTGTAATTTTGTATTTATTTGTGTAATTATTTGATTAAGGTCTGTCTCCCTTGCCAAACTACCAGTGCCACAAGAACAGGATGTCTGGTTTTGCTTACTATTGCATCTCCAGTGCATGCCACAGCACCTGGAACACAGGGCCAGAGTGTTCCAATAAATATTTGTTGAAAGGATAAATGTATGGGGGTGTCTGTAACAATTTGGATAGAGCACACAGAATGTCAGATGGTCCTTTGGAAAAATCCAAACCTTCCCATCTCCGTCTGCTGGCCTCCCAAAGCCTACAAGATGGAGTCCAAGCTTCTCAGTAGATAAAGACCCTTCAGGATCTAGCTCAGGCTTCCCTGCTAGTTCCTTTCCTGTCATTCCTTAACTGAAACAGTGAGCTCCAGTTTTTGCCTTAACTACTTGTGGTTTCCCAAACACGCAGCTCCTTCGCACCCCTGGGCCTTTGCATATGCTGATCTTTGCCTGGAATGCCCTTGCGTTCTATAATTCACAAACATATTCAAAGGTCACATCCTCTGAAGTTTTCCCTAACTTTCTTTCCCCACTAATTCCTCCCCTGCCCTTTAAATGTTTGCCATTACACCGGCACAGGATTTTTCTCAGTCACTTTGCCAGGCTCACAGAAGGAGACACCCCATCAACTCTGGCCCTCAGGGCTGCAACTGAGGGCAAGCTTCCAGCACAAATCCCGTGGCCACTGCAACCGCACCTTCGGCCCCTGGAGGGAGGGGATGTGTGAGTGAGCAAGTGCAGGGTCCAGCCAGCCATTCCGAGTGCTGACATGAGAGCAGGCTTTGTGAGGGGCTTGTGGCTTGACCAGGCATGTCACCCCAAGGGGAAGGTGGCAGTGCCCAGGCAGGGGTGCCTGCAACCCCAAAGCTCCAGAGGGGTGTTACAGTGTGCTAATTAGCTCTTGCAGCCCCATCAGCAGCAGCCCAACAGACAGTGGCATGCTAACAGCTCAGTCAGCTCCTTGCTCCACTCTAGCCCACAGCTCCGGGACTGGCTTGGCCCCACCACTGCTTCTGTCGCACGGGGTGGCTGCCTTCCACCAGTGGAGGGCAGGGGGCCACAGTGCCACAGCCTTTTGGGTACTTGCATTCAGAGGGTCCTAAGCTCTTGTCCCACATCCAAGAAGAATGAGGTCACATTGACAACTGTAGGGTGATGAGGGTGGAGAATTTTATTGAGTGACGAAACAGCTCTCAGTAGAGAGGGATCAGGAATGTGGGGTCTCTCACCCAAAGTCAAGTCATCTCTCCCAGTGTGGCTGAGTCTGGGGTATTTTTAGGCACAGGACAGGTGAGGGGTGGGCCATGAGTACTACTGGAAAAGGCAACATTTAATTGGTTAAAAAGCATTATTCAAAAAGAACCAACCAGGAAAGGGTGGGCAAACAGGAACACAAGTTCTCACTCTGGGTCATGGGTTTCATCCAGAACCAGCAGCAGTCCAGGCTGTTTTTGGCTTGAAGGTGGGGTTTCATCAGGGACCTGTCCCTATCTGCCTAGGCATTTGTCTGCCTCCTGCTGCTATCAATATCACTGTACACATCACATTTGTTATAGTTACCAGTTTGTTTTTCTGTCTCCTCTTTCAGGCTATGAGCACCCTAAAATCAAGTCATACTTAGCTAACTATTAGGCCCTCAACTATAGCACCTGCCACATACTAGGAACTTAAAAGAATGCTAGCAAAAGAAACTCAAGGGCTGACTGTGCTGAAAAGGGAAAGCTCATTTAGAACTTCAGGATTGGTTGGAATAGGGTCTGTGAGCTCATACATATCACCTCCTTTTTCTGGGCACTTTCCATGTCATAGACAAAGGGAGGCCCAGAGCAGTGACAACTTGAGAGGTCACACAAAAAGTGAGAGGTTATCTCTGGGGTCTTCATCCCTGGGTCGTGCCCTGTTGCCTGTGCATTCCTCCAGCCAGACTCCTCTCTCTTCCCGTCTTCAATCCAGGCAAGATTAGTGGATGGGGATGATGAGCACCAGGGAGGCAGGTAATGAGAACTTTCAAGCTAGCTTTCCCCCATGCGCTACCCTCCGACCCACAGCTGCTCAGCTCCAAGTGCTTTGTTTTTCTGCAGCAGCTGAGAGCTGAGACATTATGTCCCATGGGAATGGAAGGAAACTGGAAGGGGAGAGCTCTTTAGGAAGGAAAGAGCAGTTCAATAGAGCTTGGGAGACACAGAGGACTGAAAGTGGTAAAAATGGTCCTTTGGAGCTAGCTTAATATTATAGCTATCCGTCCTCAGCCATATAGACCACATTATAGAGCACCCTACAGTTTACAAGTACTTTTATTACATCATCTTACAGGAGCCTGACAATGATTCTGTGATGCAGACTTTTTTTTTTTTTTTTAACAATTTCAACTTTTGTTTTAGGTTCAGGAGGTAAATGTATAGGTTTGTTACATGGGTATACTGCATGATGCTGAGGTTTGGGGTATGACTGATCCCATTACCCAGGTAATGAGCATAGTACCCAATGGGCAGTTTTGCAGCCCTTGTCCCCAATGCAGACATTTTAGAACCAGAAGAAATCAATCTTAAAGTTCATCCAGTCTGACTCCTTTCTTTTACAGATAGAAAAACTGAGACCTAGACACTCAGTGACTTTCCCAAGGCCACATAGCTCTTTATTTTTAGGCTCAACCAGGACTCAAATTCAAATATTCTGACTCTACATCCAGTGCTCTTTCTAGCCCACCATGTGTCATTGTCACTACTGATTTACAGGTAATAAAAATGGAGTCAGCCAGGTGCAGTCACTCATGCCTGTAATCCCAGCTGAGGTGGGAGAATTGCTTGAGCCCTGGAGTTGGAGACCAGCCTGGGCAACAAAGTGAGACTGTGTTTCTACAAAAAATCAAAAAATTAGCTGGGCATGGTGGCCTACACCTGTGGTCCCTCAGCTACTCAGGAGCCTGAGATGGAAGAATCACTTGAGCCTAGGAGATGGGGGCTGCAGTGAGCCATAGACATGCCACTGCACTCCAGCCTGGGTGACAGAGCAAGACAATGTCTCAAAAAAATAAATAAGTAAATTGGAGTCCAAGAACACTTAGGTAGCAACTGGTTAGGTCCTTGAGGGCAGAGGGTAGAAAAGAAGTCACTGGAATCCAGGATTAAGGATTCTAAAGCGCCTCCCTGCCCTCTGTAATCCTATCTAATCTTTGAGGTCCAGGTCAAAGTGCACCTTTTTTGGGAAGTCCTTCAGGACCCTGTCTAAATTCATCACCATTGCTTCTGGCCTTCCACAGAATGTACTTGGACCTTTATTTTAGTGACAGCAGAGCACAGGCCATTAAAGACAGAAAGCCCTTATGAGAGTAATTAATTCCACATATATTCACTGATCTTAGCCTGTGCCATGTGTGATCCCTATCCTCAGAACACTCACAGTCTAGTGGGAAAGTTAGACACATGTGAATCCTATGAGAGGTGTACATACCCATTTCACAGATGGGAAACAGGACCCCAGAGAGATGAATGCCCTGTATTCTTATTTTTGGCATTGGTCTCTCACACAAAGCCCTCAAATACTCTAAACTCAAAAACACTCATGGATATAGCTATTGATTTCCATGATTTCCACCAAGATAAAGGCACTACTTTTTACTTCAAGTGGATTAGCTGAAGGTCATAGGGCTTCCTTGCATTGTTCCTCAATGTATGTGGCATATCTTAGGTATTCAATAAATATTTTTAATGAATAGATCATAGCACCTATATCAGGAATTTGCTTCCACTCTCACCTATATCTCTCATTTAGACTGGAGGAGGGGCTGTGCCTTATTGTTTCTGTACCCTCAGTGTCTAATGCAATACTTGGCACCTGGAAGGTACTCCATAAATACTGAATGAACAAAGGAATGAATAAATGAATAAAGGAATGAACAAAGGAATGAATAAATGAAGAAAAAAGATAAAAATGAAGAAAAATGAAAATAAAAGAAGGATGGGTAATATAACCTTTTTGTTGCCCTAAATTAAAAACATGACATCACCCCCAAACACACCCCTTTTCTGGAAACTCCCTCTTTCCTCAGCTTCTGTGAAGTTTCTCTTCCCCTGTTCTCTCCCTTCAGCTCTGCCGGTTCCTGCTGTGTCTCCTACACTGGCTCCTTATCCTCCCCTGGGCCCTCACTTTCAAGTTTCAGATGGAAATTTCCAACTGTCTGCTGGGCATCTCCACTTAGCCTGAAACCATCCAACATGTATATGGTTGACTATTAATTATGACCTATTTCATTTGTGTCTTCTCCAGCTATTAAGCCCTTATGAGTACCCCACACGCATCTGGGCATATAGCAGTATTCTAAAGATGCCTGCAGAATGAACCATCATTCATAATATCCCAGTGCTTTGGCATGGACAAATTTAGCATCAGAGTTGCCAATCCATTTCCTCATCACTCTTTTTGCCTCCAAATTGACATCAGCACCATTCACAGCATTCTGAGAAGTCTCTCTGGGGAATTTACTTCATATGCCACCTGCTGTACCCTTTATGTGACTCACCCAACTCCCCTTTGAGACAGGAAAATGTGGGGAGAGAAGTGAGGTGGAAGAGAGCCAGGAGGAAAAAAAGAAGCATGAAACATGATTATACTTAATACATCCCCAGATCACAGCAAGCAAAAGGAAATGAACAGAGTCAGGCCTTGTGCTGAGAAATTGCAGGTGATAAAAGTAAGACTCTTGTCAAAAGACAATTCACAAAAACTAATGGTAGGCCAGGCACGGTGGCTTGCTCCTGTAATCCCAGCACTTTGGGAGGCCAAGGCGGGCAGATCATCTGAGTTCAGGAGTTCGAGACCAGCCTGACCAACATACTAACACGTCTCTACTAAAAATACAAAAATTAGCTGAGTGCAGTGGCGCACGCCTGTAGTCCCAGCTTCTTGGGAGGCTGAGGTAGGAGAATCACTTGAAGCTGGGAGGTGGAGGTTGCAGTGAGCCAAGGTCGTGCCACTGCACTCCAGCCTGGATGACACAGCAAGACTCCATCTTAAAAACAAAAAACTAAAAAATACCTAATGGTTAATAAATATACAGATGATTTATTCGATAAATAATCAAAGAAATGCAATTGAAATTATGAGATACTTTTTTAACCTACTGAATTAGCTAAACTAAAATTAAGATAACATTCAGTGTTCACAAAGGTAAAGTAAAATAGGAATTTCACTACCGAGAATCTGTCTAAAGGAAATCATCTGAAACCTAGGAAAAGTTTTACACACAGGGATAATCACTGCAACATTATTGATAACAGCTCCAAATTGGAAAGTAGTTGAATGTCAAACAATGGGGGGAAACTGAGCTTTGAGAGGCCAGAGAATGGGCCTCACTCTTTTACCACTGTTGAGAGTGCCTGACACGTGGTAAGTGCAACAAATATTGCTGGATGAATGAATGAATGGATATGGTTCATCTTTTGTATAAAGTACAATGAACTCATCAAAAACATATAAAGATTTTCTAACAATGTTAGCTACGCTTATGTTATAATGCTATGTTTAATAAAATTGAATATATAATCTGACCTCAACTATGTTAAAAATTCATAGAGAAGAAACTGGAAAGGAACCAACCACCAACCCAAATGTCAGTAACATTTTCTTCTTTATGCTTGGCTGTGATTTCAAAATATGTTTTAAATAAGCATATATTAACTTATACATTTAAGAAAAAAACTAAATCCTTAGTAAGCACTGGCAGTTGCTATTCTTATTATTATTACCAGTCCAGGGAGAAGGAAGTATAGGAAAAGCATGTGAACCAACCATGAGTGGATCACTGTTGTAGCTGGAGGACAGAGTTCATGTACTACTTATTCTCCCTACTCGAGTGTGTGTTTGAAATTTTCCATAATAAAATAGCTTAAAAAAATAGAGAAGCCTGAAACAGCACAGCATCTGGGGAGAAAGCAAGCAGTTCCATTTTCAATGGTTTGTAAAATACCATATTTCATAGATTCTCAGATGTCCACTTTTTCACATTTTAATATCTTTAAAAAAGGATGTATCTTAGAATTGATAGCATCTTAGATTCCTGGAAACATAGTACTTAAAATAGTAGACAGGAGAGGAAGTAGGAAGTGAGGCTGTAGCTAGATCACGGAGGTCTTGAATGCCAGGTCAAGGTGCTTGGATGTCGTCCTGACGAGAACAGAAAGCCACTGAAGGGTTTAGTGTGTCCAACATAGGGCCTATCACCCGGAAGACATTCAGTTAGTGTGTGCTAAATAGTAAGGCCACTGAGGATCAGGTCACTGCTGCTTCTGCCAAAGGCCAGGGGGCGTTGACCTTTATGAGCGAAGTTTGAGGCCTTGCCCTCCCTCTCCTTCTTGTCATCTCATGAGTTCCAGTTCTCTCCCGTTTTGCAGGGCAGAATCATTGGGTTGTATATTAAGGTGATTTTTCTCCCTCTAATCCCCCAATTACTTCTATTTTCCTGAAAACAATAAATATTTCTCCAGAAGCTGAGCCAACACCATAGCCGATGTGAATGCCCACAGCCCTGGGTTCTACAGCACCCTCTGACATGACATTCCAAAGCCAAAACCTTGGCTTGGCACCTGGCCCAGGGACTTACTCTTACTTACTCTTTTTTTTCTTAGACAGAGTCTCCCTCTGTCTCCCAGGCTGGAGTGCAGTGGCGCAATCTTGGCTCACTGCAATCTCTGCCTCCCGGGTTCAAGCGATTCTCCTGCCTGAGCCTCCTGAGTAGCTGCGATTACAGGTATGTGTCACCACACCCAGCTACCCAGCTAATGTTTATGTTTTTAGTAGAGACAGGGTTTTACCATGTTGGCCAGGCTGGTCTCAAACTCCCGACCTCAAGTGATCCGCCAGCCTCAGCCTCCCAGAGTGCTAGAATTACAGGCATAAGCCACTGCGCCTGGCCCCAGGGACCTATTTCTGAACTCATTTCCAAATGGAGACACAAGGAGTTAACATATACAGAGCAGGCAAGAGGAGTTCAGAGACTTAACTAGATAGAGAAATCAGGAGTCCAGGATCCCCATCCTACCCTGGGCTGTTTTCCCTCTGGTCTCATAGCTGCTTTCTTTCAGGAGTTGGCCCAAGTCACCATAGCAGACGAGTCCCCTGAGGATCATTTGCATACAGGTGGCAGAGTGTTCTAAAAATAGGATCAACACTCATCTCCACAAAGCAAATGCCTTGAAATTTATTTACAAGGGACAGGGGACAAACATCTGAGGAGCGAGGAAGAGCCTGTCAGAGGCAGCCTGACAATGAATGGCAAGGGAGCCACACAGCTGTAAGGCTGGGAGGCAGGAGGCCTGGGTATGGTTTAATCCTACCACTAACTTGCTTTGTGGGCTTATGAATACTGTGCACCCTGCGCCTTGGATTCTCCTCTTTAAATAGGGATATTAGACTAGATTACTTTTTTAAGGCCCCTTCTAGCTCTAAGGAGTCAGGATAAATAGTAATAATTGTTATAATCAAATAATAATAATTGTTAACACGAATTGAGTACTTACTAAGTGTCAAGCACTGTGACAAGCACTTTTCATGCACTACTTCATCAGTCTTCATAACCAGCTCTTTGGAGTAAGACAAATAAACTGAGAGGCACAGGGAGGTTAAGTACTTGCCCAGGTTAGCAAATGTCAGAGCTGGGAGTTTAACCCCTAAGTTATACTGCCTGCTAGGATGCTAAACTTATCCCTGGTTTTCTAACCTAACAATTTCACTGCCTTCAGCTCTTGCCACCCCTCTCCATTCTTTTCTCCTCAGGTTCTGACCAACCTGGACAACTCCATAGGCCCCAAACATTGTGTTCCTCTAAGTCTCAGTGCTTTGCTCATGCTGCACCCTCTGCCTGGATCAGCCTTTTCCCCTTCCCTGCCAAGGCAGTCGCTAATTACCATTCCAATTCAGCTCAAATGCTTCCTCCTGTATGACTCGCATTTCCTCCCATACCCACAGGCAGAAATAATGACTGGCTGCCATTTGTTTAGACGGGCTGTGCCAGGCACTGTGCTAATTCTTACAACTTTCTGAGCGAGGTCCCATTTTCATACTTATTTTACAGATAAAGTAATGAGATTCAGAGATTAAACACCTTGCCTGAAGCCATACAGCTGGTAAAAGACCCGAGCCAGAAAGTCAAACTTCACAGCCTTCCTAACTTCTCTTCTATCCTCTCTCCAATGAAACTGTGTATATGAATTGCCAACGTGCTTGTCTTTCCACCAGACTATAAAATCTTCTAGTGGTTTTTATGTAAAGTCTATATAAACTCTTTTCATGGTTTTGTCTGTTTGTTCTTGAGTGATCAAATGAACTGCTGGGAGATAATCTGTAGCAGCACAACTGGTGGAAAACTTAGGCTAGAGTCAGGACCAAACCAGGAGGAAGAAAAAAACGGTGCAGGCCCTCACTCTGTCGATCTTTTCCTGCCACTTTAAATCCCTATGGGAACAAGACAAAAATATATTTTAACAATATTCCCTGCACTTTGGCACCCACTTCTGTCCTTATCACATCCTCCAAGAAGCCTCTTAAAATTACCCTCATTCTCATCCTCCCCCCTTAATTTTAGTGTTCCTTCAGCACTTATGTGTCATTTCATTAAACACTGTAAGCACTTAATGAACAGACAGTGTGAAGGGCAGCAGAAAGAGTATGGATTTTGGGGTCAAGCAAATTCTAGCTTTGCCACTTCTTGGCATGTGACCTTGGACCAGTTGCTGTCTTTGACTTTCTGAGCTGCAGATCTGTTAACTGCAAAACAGGTTTCATAATAATATCCTTTTCTTGGTATTGTTGGGAGGATAAAGTAAGATAAGTGTTGTGACAGTGTGTTGGTAAAGTTCTGTATAAACAGTCGTGTTCATTTAATTTACTGTTTGCCCTCAGTAATCTGCTGCTCTTCCCCCTGGTGTCAACACCCAGAATGGGCCTCAGATTCCTGGTGAGCTAGAGCTGTAGGAAAGTGAGAGGAGGGAGGAGCCCAAGAAAGCAGGGCTAGGAACCACCTGAGCAAACTTCCGCTGGAAGGAAATTAAAGGGCTAATTAAGCCTCCGTTGGTGGTAAATTTCCAAGCCAGCCTTTGGGCTCAATCAGTTGACACGGCAACACACCGGTGGGGGAGGCCGGTATCCTGAGAGGACATATTCTCTCCTCACAAAATGGCACCTCGTGGCAGCCTGAACACAGGGTCCAACCTCAGAATTGCCACCAATTTTCTCTATCTTCCCTTTCTCTTCTCTCTTACCTTCCTTATCTCTTCCTCCCCATGTTCTAGCTGAAGAACCTGAGGGGTTCAGCCAGGCACAGAGGAGGCTGGGATGTCCTGGGATGGCTCTAGTACAGCATTTAATTGTTGACTGAGGTTAGGTGTCACTTTTTATATGCAGAAGTAGGGTCCAGTAGGAAGATCCCAGGCAAGGGAATGAGTCCCAAAAGCCTGCATTCAGGGCCCACTTAGTCCATTTGTCAACTTTAATAAAGTACAACCCTTTACCCTCTGGGCCTCAGTTTCCTCAAGTGTATAATGAGGATGACAAGACCTCCTCTTGTGATCAAATGAGATCTCATATGTATCAGATGATCAGACTGGACTGGTGTCCACAGTGGTGCTGAGAGGAAAGCCGGTAAGAAAGTGGCATACTCGGCCGGGCGCGGTGGCTCATGCCTGTAATCCTAGCACTTTGGGAGGCCGAGGTGGGCAGATCACCTGAGGTCAGGAGTTCGAGACCAGCCTGACCAACATGGAGAAACCCTGTCTCTACTAAAAATACAACATTAGCCGGGCGTGGAGGCGCATGCCTGTAATCCCAGTTACTCGGGAGGCTGAGGCAGGAGAATCACTTGAACCCGGGAGGCGGAGGTTGCGGTGAGCCGAGATTGCGCCATTGCACTCCAGCCTGGGCGACAAGAGCAAAAACTCAGTCTCAAAAAAAAAAAAAAGAAAAGAAAGTGGCCTACTCATTCTAGAGAGGCTAACCCAAGAGGAGCCTCAGACCTCCCAGCCACTGAGGGGCAGAACTGATAGGGGTGGGGGTGGCACAAAACTTGATCTGAGGCCAAGAGAGAGATCAGGCACTGCAAGTGCAGAGAGAAGAGATAGCCTCAACTTTGAGAGGTATACAGCCTTAGCTTGAGCACTCACTTTCATTTTGCCAGTCTTTGTTAAACCCTTACTATTGGCAAGGCCCTGTGCCTGGTGCTGGAGCTGTAGACCCGAGTCAGACCCGGTCCCTGCCCTCAGGGAGCATGCAGTCTGGGAGGAAGACAGGTGAGTTCCAGACACATGCAATACAGCTGGTTAGTATGGAAAGTTAAGGAGGGTCCTTAACTGCCACTGAGTTGCGGGGAGGTGGGTCATCAAAGGTTTCCCAGAAGAGATGATACTTGAACTGAGTCTTCAAAGTCAAATGGGAGTTTGCTGATAGAAAATGGGGGAGGAGGCCAGGTGCAGTGGCTCATGCCTGTAATCTCAGCACTTTAGGAGGCCTCGGCAGGAGGATCACTTGAGCCCAGGAGTTCAAGGCAGCCTGTGCAAAAAACTGAGACCCTGTCTCTATAAAAAAATTAGCCGGGTGTGGTGGCACATACCTAGGGTCCCATCCACTCTGGAGGCTGTGGTGGGAGGACGGCTTGAGCCCAGGAGGTCGAGGCTGCAGTGAGCCATGTTCACACCACTGCACTCCAGCCTGGCTGACAAAGCAAGACCCTATTCCAAAAAAAGGAAGAGAAACAAAAAGGAAATGTGGGTAGAGGGGGAATCTCTAGAGAGGAGGAAACAACCTGGGCAAGGCAAGGAGTGAAAAAGTGCATCCCGACTCCCAGCCCAGAAGAGCCTAAGGAGACACGACAATTCAGATCAGTTGTGTTCTAGATGGGATCCTGGGACAGAAAAGGAGTAGTAGGTAAAATCTAAGGAAAGTGGAATAAACTAGGGATGTTAGCTAATAATAGTATATCGATATTGGTTAATTATAACAAATGTACCATACTAATGTACGATGGTAATAACAGGGAAAACCAGGTGTCGGGTAAATGGGAACTCTCCATACTATCTTTGCAATTCTGTAAATCTGAAACTGTTCTAAAAAATAAAGGTTTTGTTTTTTTAAAACTGCATCCTGTGGTTGGGTTGGGGGTTTAGAGTACACGTGGGTGGTGCATGGACTGCCTGAAGGGTGAAGATGGGGTTGGGGAGGCAGAAAGGGCCAAGAATGTGTTGAGGGGGATGCAGGAGAGCCCCCCTGGATTTTAGGCACTGGAGTGACAGCGATTATGGAGGGCAAGCCTGAGGGCAGGGAGTGCCACCGGGCAGCTGCAGTCCAAGGGGGAGAACAGGAATCTAAGGTAGGAAAGGGCAAAGGAGAGAGCTAGGCTCACAGTCTGCTCTCAATAAATGTTTATGGAACAGAACTGACCAGGGGATGCGTTCAAGAGAAATTGGGGAAATAGAATGGATATTTCTCATGAACAATCAGATGAATATGACAAGAGCAGAGAGGAGTAAAGGATGACCCTTAGTTTTGAGCTGGGGGCAGTAGTGGGGCACTCAAGAGAGGGGGCACTGTATCCCCTGGGACCTGCCCTCCCAGCCATCTGGGCCTCAGCACAGAGCCCCTGCGTCATTAGCACAGAGCTGACAGACTTCACAGAGGAAGGTGAGAAGCACAGGAGCACAGACAGGATAAGAGTTTCCAGCTGTCGCCTGGCAACCCAAGGTGTGGGGCAATGGTGTTGGGCAACGGTGTGGGGGAAGGAGGATTCTGCAGAAGGAAGGGATTATAAATCCTCAGTTGAATGGCCTCCCCCATCCCACCCCTGTCCTTAGCAACACATCAGGCAGGTTCCAAGCAGGCTAGGAGAATCTCCAGCCTTAGATGGCAACTGGACGTCTTCAGGGGCAGAGCACTGCTGCTCTCTCCATCCATTGAAAATGGGAGTAAAAGGGCCACAACTCACAACTAATTTCTCTGTTGATGACTCCGCCTTGTAAGTCCTGTGGCTCGCAATCTTAAAGTGGTGGTAACCCTAAGATCAGTCACAGTAGTACAGCATAATAGAAACCTCATGAGCTAATCCTGGCTCTCCCCTTCACTGTATGACTTTGGGTAAGTTTATTTAGCACCTAATATGTTACAGGCTCCATGCTAGATCCTTTCCCTATATGATCTCATTCAATCTTTACTACAACACTAAGAAGTAGGCATTAATATTCTTCTATTTTACAGCTGAGGAAACAGAGGTTCAGAGACATTACTTATCACACTGCTGGTACCATGTGTTCATTCCACCTACACCACAGCTGAAGTAATTAAGCCCCCAACCACTCCTTTCACCCTATGCCCAGAACATGCAGCAGCTTCTTCAGAGACCACTACATTCAGTGCCAAGTCACTTAATTACATACCTATACACTGGTGTTGCTCAATCTTGGATGCCCATTAGACTCCCCTGTGAAGTTGTAGTGGGACAGAGAGAGAGGAGGGCTGGTAGAAAAGGAGGGGAGCTGGTAACTAAAAGGTGATAGTTTGCAACAGATAACACCTCCGTTTCTGAGAGTGTTTGTTTGGAGGTTCTGATTTTTAGCTGTGACGTTGACTCTCAACCACCTGTGAGGTCCCTGGGGTACCACAGGGCAGTGGAAAGAGTGGGGAAGGCAGTTTGGTGTGAAAAGAACACTCTGGTGGCAAACATCCCTAATTTTGAGTCCCAGATGTGCTATTTTCCAGGCTTGGTAAGATTTGGTCAAGTCCCTTAACTTCTCTGAGTCTCAGTTTCCTCATCTGTTCTGGGCACCATCACTGTGATAATTATAAGGGAAAAACTGCAAGTAAAGCACCTGTAAAGTATGTAATTGCTGCCCAAAAATTGTAATTATTAACAATTTCACCATTTACAGAGTGCTTTACCTATGTGAAGATATAACAAGGGGTTCAAAACTCCATACATGGGTTTTGAAGACAGTCAGACCTTTATTTTTATTTTTATTTTTTTTGAGACAGTCTCGCTCTGTCACCCAGGCTGGAGTGAAGTGGGGCGATCTCGGCTCACTGCAACCTCCGCCTCCTGAACTTAAGTGATTCTCCTGCCTCAGCCTCCCAAGTGGCTGGGACTACAGGTGTCAGCCACCAAGCCCCGCTAAATTTTTGTATTTTTAGTAGAGACAGGGTTTCACCATGTTGGCAAGGCCGGTCTCAAACACCTGACCTCAAATGATCCACTTGCCTTGGCCTCCCAAAGTGCTGGGATTACAGGCATGAACCACTGCACCCAGACTGAAGCCAGATAGACCCTGATTCAAATCTGGACTCTGCCACTTACTATTTGTGTGAACTTGAGACAGCCATCTAACTCCTCTGGACCTCAGTTTACTTCTCTGTAAAATGGGGATAATAACAGCACCTAGTTCACAGGGTTAGTGTCAGGATGAAATCAGTTCATAAAAGCACTGAGCACAGTGCTGGCATGAAAGCCCGTGCCACTGTCAGCTCACATCAGCTTTGTGGGAGATAGTATTAGTCCCATTTACAGGTGAAGGTCTAAATGAAAGCTGCTGTTCATTGCCACAATTATTGATGTGTGAAGTCAAGAGGGATGCCAGGCATTCAGAATAAGAATGGCACTTTTGCCAGACTCTGGGCCTCTAAATGCAGGGATCAAAAGGAAGCAGGGATCCTCCCACACACGCCACACAACCACTGTCTGTCCTGGGACCACCTGTCTGCTTTATAATTTGTTTTGTATTCTCTTTATCCCTCTGTTCATGTCAATTATGGCAAGAAGCCCATGTCTCCAAAGCCATCCCTGATCACTGGACTCCAATTGCCATATAGCTCAGTACATCATCATCTTTTCTAACACTGTCTCCTCCCCTCCCCACTGAAACCTTTCTCTGAGTCTTCTGAAATTCAGTCAGTCATCAGAAAAATCTATTTTTGCTCAGCCTCTCATCCGAACGTTTCTTTTACCTCCTTGCTGTAATCAAAGCCCGGCTCTCCCTGAGGACATGGCTTCTCCTAAAGCCTCTAAATTGTTGCTCACTTCCTCTCTCATCACCCTTGAATCAGCGGGCTGGAGGTGGGATAGATGTTGTTGCTTCTCACCCCTGCTTTCATATCACTCTCTTTCCCTCCTTCAAAAAAACAAAACAAAACACCTCCAGCTTTCAATATCATGAGATTATACCACCCACTTATCCCTCTACTGGCCAGTGAACAGCTTCTGCTTCACTGTTACTCTCTCCATAATTCTTGGTGATTTCAATATCCACATAGATGAGGCTTCCATCACCTTGGACTCTCATTTCCTTGAATGCTTCTCCTCCAGTGATATTGATCTCTGACCCCACCTCAGTAACTCACTCTCACAGTCATATCCTGGACCTTATCATTACCAATAGTAATTTCAAGCCTCTCATACTCAGACCACTATGCTCTTTCCAGCTCACTCCTTGTAGATTCCCAGCATCAACAGTCTTCTTTCCCTACCACCTTTTCACTGTCCTTCATCCCTTGTGTTGTTACCTCCCTCTTGGCCCAACTTGAATTCTAAGGTCAATCATGACAACAGCCTCCCTTCACATGCCCCTGACTCCCCAGGCCCTCTTGCTTTGTTATACTCAGCAAAACCACACTTTACTTAAAGTCAACTCTTTGCCTATTCTATGCCTTTATCCTCAGAGCAAAACATGGCTGGAGAAAAACACACAACCATGCTTCAAATTCATGAGCTGATGAATTTAAATTTATGATCACTAATTTCAAATGAAGTCTTAATGCTAATCAGCAATCAAATTACATTTCCACAGTCTATTCACTCTCCCACCTTCCTAAATGACATTCTCCTCTCTCTTCGACTCTCCAAACTTCCTCCCTCATCTTCACTCTCCACTGATGACCTTGCTTCATCAGAAAATTGTACTTAAGAGAACTCGAACCAGCACATGGAACCCCAAGCTGCACCTGTGCCCAAACCCTCTGCTTTCTCCCCTGGGAATGTAGGTGCACAGTCTGTGCTCCTACCAAGGACTCACCCTCTGCATGTAATCCTATCCCCTCTCCCCAGTTCAAGGATATTGTCCCAGCAGTTCTCCTTTGTTTCCAAATCATCAGCTTTGTATTTTTGTTTCTTTGTTGGCTTGCTTTGTTGATCTCTATTCAATTGTTCTACCACCATACGAACGTGCTGCTACTTCTCAAATCTTAAAAAAACAAAAACCTCTTCTGATTCACTTCCCCATTCACCTTCAGCTACCACCCCAATTGTCTCCTTTTCTTTAGAGCAAACATCCTTCAAAGTGCTGTGTCATACTTGGTGTCTCCAATTTCTCTTCTGCCATTTTTACCAGGCTTTCACCCCTCCTACTCCACCAAAACAACTTGTATCAAGGTTATCAATGTACTCTATGTTGCTAAATACAGCAGTCAATCCTCAGTTCCCATATTCATAACCTAGCAGCCATATTTGACACAGTTGATCTCTCCTTCCTCTGAAAAACTATCTTCACTTGGCTGCCAGGACACCACACATTCTCATTTCAGTTGCTCTTTTTCAGTCTCCTTTCCCGATTCTCCCTCATCTTCCCAACACCTTGGTGTTGGAATGTCTCCGGGCTCAGTCTGTGAACCTTTTCTTCTTCCTGCCTTCACTCTTTCCCTTGTTAATCTTATTTGGTCTCATCATTTAAAATACTACTTGCTAACATATACATGCAGACTCATTTATCCAACTGCTTATTCCATATCTCTACTTGGTTATCTAACGGGTATCTCCAACTTAGCATAACCAAACTGAATCCCCAACTCTCTCTCTCTAAACCCTGTTCTTCCTGCAGTCTTCCCCATCTCAGTTAGAGGAATCTCCAAACTTCTAGTCGCTCAGCCCAAACCCTCAGCAACATCCTTGACTTCTCTCCTTCTTTCTCTCTCCACATCTAATTCAATATTCAGTATTTTCAACATACATGCAAAATCTGACTACTCTCACTACTACCGCTACTACCTCCCTAGTTCAAGCCACCATCATTCCCAGCCTCAATTGTTACAAATCCTAACTGGTTCTCCCTGCTTCTGCACTTTGCTCTTCATAATTTATTCTTGAAACAGGCATAACTCTGCCTCAGAGAAATCCTGTTAAGTGTTAAGATGTAAGTCACCTGGCCAGGCGCAGTAGCTCACGCCTGTAATCCCAACACTTTGGGAGGCCAAGGCTGGTGGATTACTTAAGACCAGGAGTTCAAGACCAGCCTGGCCAACATGGTCTCTACTAAAAATACAAAAATTAGCATGGTGGCACACACTTGTAATCCCAGCCACTCAGGTGGCTGAGGAACGAGAATTACTTGAACCTGGGAGGCAGAGGTTGCAGTGAGCCGAGATTGCGCCACTGCACTTCCAACCTGGGTGACAGAGTGAAATTCTGTCTCAAAAAAAAAAAAAGAAACGAAAAAAAGAAAGAAAGAAAGATGTAAGTCACTAAAATGTTAAAATGTTCTGGAATTAGTGATGATAGTTGCATAAGTCTGTAAATATACTAAAAATCACTGAACTATACTGTTTAAAAGGGTGAATTTTGGCTGGCCCGGTGGCTTACGCCTGTAATCCAAGCACTTTAGGAGGCTGAGGTGGGTGGATCACGAGGTCAGGAGTTCGAGACCAGCCTGGCCAACATGGCAAAACCCCGTCTCTACTAAAAGTACAAAAATTAGCCGGGTGCGGTGGGGGGCACGTGTAATCCCAGCTACTCGGGAGGCTGAGGCAGGAGAATCGCTTGAACCCGGGAAGCGGAGGTTGCAGTGAGCCGAGAATGTACCACTGCACTCCAGCCTGGGCAACAGAGCAAGGCTCCATCTCAAAAAAAAAAAAAAGGTGAATTTTATGGTATATAAGGTATATGTCAATTGAAAAAATATTATTAAATGCAATACGGTATCTTGGATTGGATCCTGCAATGGTAATAGAATATTTGTGGAAAAAAAACTAGTGAAATTCAAATAAAGACGGTAGTTTAATCGTATTGTACCAATGTCAATTTCTTAGTTTTGACAAATGTATCATGGTTATATAAAATGTTAACATTAGGGCAACTGGGCAAAGGACACATGGGAACTCTACACTATCACTGCAACTTTTCTATAAACCTAAAATTACCCAAAGATTTAAAAATTTATTAAAACAATGTAAGACAGAGCATGTCATTCCACTGCTCAATGTCTGCAATGCATTTCAATGTGTGCGTGCCTGGTGTATATCCCCCTTCTCCTCTGCTTCACTGAGTGCCCCTAAGAGGCAGGGATGTTGTCTCACCAATCGCTGCAGAGCCTAGCACAGCTAGGCACACAAAGGGTCCTTGAAAGCAATTATGCTCTTGCAAATGTCATTTCTTCCACCTGTAAAGCTCTTACTCTACATTAACCTGAAAAAAATCAGACTCATTTGTCAAGACCCTGCTCAAATGTCCCCTCCTTTGTGAGACCTGCAATGATTTTCCCAGGTGGAGGTAGCTGTTCTTACAACACTTTCTTCATCCCTTTATTACATCGCTTTTATCACATTGTAGCTGTTTCTTTGCCCTCTCATGACAGTGCCTCGCATATAATATGTACATGACACATGTTTATTGAATGGATTAATGAATACACAAATGGCTTGTAGATTATTTCTTTTTCTCCCATGCCAGTTTGGATGGAAGGAAAGGGGGTTGTGGCCCTAAATAGTGTGTCTTGGAGACCCCTTCAATAGTCAATCAGGATGGCTTGTTAATTCATTTGAAAATTACAGAGGCCAACTAAGCCTGATTTGACTCCCCATGGTCTTTGTTGTGATTTTTAAAATCAGATTAAACTTACTTCCTCAGCAGCTGGTTCCTACAGGCTTTGGGGAGATAAAAGTGTCAGCATGTTTCTGCAGCCACACCAGGAAACTTGCTGCCTAGAAAAATCAATTCTGATTATCATAAGAGCTGAGCACAGGATGGTGTACTCAGGAACTGTCTTCACATTCCTGGAGCCACAGAGACTTGTCAGAGCCCCAGTTTCCCTGTTCAGCCTCCAGACTCTTCTGTGCTGCCCGCTGATCTCTCCACAGGTCTCCAGCTTACACTCAAGACGAGATTGCACCTTCCTGA
This sequence comes from Homo sapiens, assembly GCF_000001405.40. Classification (NCBI taxonomy): domain Eukaryota; kingdom Metazoa; phylum Chordata; class Mammalia; order Primates; family Hominidae; genus Homo; species Homo sapiens. The sequence continues at coordinate 51,966,920 of NC_000001.11, forward strand.
AGGTGGCAGGAAGAGCACTGGAATGGGTCAAGGGACATCACCATGAGCCCTCAGTAAAGTCCCTATCTCACTCTGAGCCTCAGCCTCCTCCTGTCTAAAATGAAAGACTGAGGCTGGGCACAGTGGCTCACGCCCGTAATCCCAGCACTTTGGGAGGCCGAGGCAGGAGGATCAACTGAGGTCAGGAGTTTGAAACCAGCCTGGCCAACGTGGTGAAAACCTGTCTCTACTAAAAATAGAAAAATCAGCCAGGCATGGTGGTACATGCCTGTAATCCCAGCTATTCGGGAGGCTGAGGCAGGAGAATCGCTTGAACCCAGGAAGTGGAGGTTGCAGTGAGCCAAGATTATGCCATGGCACTCCAGCCTGGGCAACAAAAGCAAAACTCCACCTCAAAAAATAAATTAATTAATTAAATTAAATAAAATGAGAGACTGAGATGTGATGTGCTCTAAATTCACAGGCTTGTTGACACCTAACAAGGTAACAGGAAATCTTAATCAGCAGTGTGAACTTAAAACATGGACATTACCTGCTTCAGAGTCTTAAAGGATGAGGGAATTTATATCAGGTATTTTCCTTTTTCTTTTCTTTTCTTTTTCTTTTTTTTTTTTTTTTTTGAGATAGGATCTTGCTCTGTCACCCAGGCTGGAGTGCAGTGGTGTGGTTATAGCTCAAGGCAGCCTTGACCTCCCAGGCTCAAGTGATCCTCTGGCCTCAGCCTCATGAGTAGCTGGGACTACAGGCACATGCCACCACACACACAGCTTATTTTTAAATTTTTTGTAGAGACAAGGTCTCAGTATGTTGCTGGTCTCACTCCTGAGCTCAAGTGATCCTCCTGCCTTGGCCTCCCAAAGTGCTAGGATTATAGGCATGAGCCACCACGCCCAACCAGGTCTTTTATATGTTACTAACAGATGCTGTAGTAGTCAGAATAATAGTCTCCCAAATATATAATCCCTAAAATCTGTGAATATGTTACCTTACATGGCAAAAGGGATTTTTGCAAATGGGATTAAATTAAGGATCTTGAAAATGCAGGATTGACCTGGAATGCCTAGGTGGGCCCATTATAATCACAAGTGTTTTTATAAGAGACAAGGAGGAGGTTCAGAGAGGTTGGAAGATGTTCCACTGCAGCTTTGAAGATGGATGGAAGAAGGGGCCCCAAGCAAAGGGATGTAGGCAGCCTCTGGAAGCTGGAAAAGGCAAATTAAAGATGCCCCCCAGATGAGGCCCTCCAGAGAGAACACAGACTGAAACCAGCCAACAAATTGATTTTAACCCAGTGAGACCCACCTTAGACTTCCGACCTCCAGAACTGTGAGATAGTAAGTTTGTGTTGTCTTAAGCCACTAAGTTTGTAGTAATTTTAGTGCAGCAACAGGAAACTAATAGAGAAGCCTATTAGACAGCTACCCAATCTCATATAATAATCCATGACTGTACATTCTTAAATTCTAGGGAAAAGTCTCTTGATATCCTATTCTTCTTCCCCTAATCAGAACAAGAGAGCTATGGTATTCATTTATTGGGCTCATAATTTCAGTCTCATTAATTCCTGGAGAGCAGGGAATGTCACATTTATATTAATATCTCTATCCCCAGAATCTGGCACAGTAAATATTTGTTAAATGGCTGCTGAAGAGCCACAATCCTCCTTCTTCCAAGTTTCTGGTATGATTACCTTTCCCACATTCCTACACTCCCTTACATTTCAGCTATTCTTATATTACTGGCCCTAAGATACAGATCCTTGACATTCCCAGATTTAATACTCACTAGCTTTAATATTTATAAATGACTCCAAAGCCATGTTGTGACCTAACATTTCATGGAGGCTGCTGTGTGGACATAAGGCAGATGACTGATAAGCGAACCTTGCTGACTGCCCAGCACCCCATCTCACCTTGACCTTGTTCTCAGTTCCTGTTTATATGAGGAGTTACTCACATCACTGTGGAATTCAGATTCCCAGGAAATCTCTTAAGACTCCTCTTGTTTGTCCCATTGTTTGTCATTCTGTCTAACCCTCCTTTGGAACCCATGGTCACTCTTATCTATGTCTTTAATTATAGTAAGAGCTATTGGGCAGGAGCAGTGGCTCACACCTGTAATCCCAGCACTTTTGAAAGGCCTAGGCAGGCAGATCACTTGAGCTCAGGAGTTTGAGACCAGCCTGGGGAACATGACAAAACCCTGTCTCTACAAAAAATACAAAACTTAGCCAGGCATGGTGTGGCACACACCTATAGTCCCAGCTACTGGTGAGGCTAAGGTGGGAGGATTGCTTAAGCCCAGGAGGTCGAGGCTGCAGTAAACCATGAGCATACCACTGCACTCCAGCCTCGGACACCCTGTCTCAACATTAAATACATGAATAAAATGATAATTTAAAAAAGAGCTGTTGGAGGAGGGACCCTCCTTTCTCTGTCTATGAGGAAGGCTGTCCATGGAGACAGAGGCTTCTCCTACAGACCTGAGTGGAATGCTTTAGGCCTTAAATATTAGTAAATCTGGGCCACATGGACTTTGACTTTGAGTGAATGGTGTACGGGCTAATTATAGCCAGCGGCCCACGTTGGCCTATGACTGGGTTTGTGTGTCTTTCTGACTCCAGAGTAAAGTATGAGCAAGCTGCACTTGCCGGAAGACTTTAGCCATGGCTTCATCCTCGCTTTAATGAGTAATAAGGCTTTTTTTTTTCCATTACGCCCCATCTCTCTGACTCCTGCATCTATTTCTCAATGGGTTTAGGTGGGGAAGAAAAGGAATGCTATTTATCAATCTCCCTAGAACCTTAATAAAAACTACGATTTGTTGAGTGTTTACTCTGTGCCATGCACTATGTTAGTGCTTTATGCACATTATCTATGTATGTCTTTAGTTACACTAAGAGCTTTTAAATCATCACCAACACAGCAATAGATCCAACTAGAGGCCACTTACTGCTGGGTGCTGGTTGCACTCAGTCTCTACAAGAAATACAAAATTTATTCAGGCATGGCATAGCCAGGCACACCTGTAGTTCCAGCTACTAGGGAGGCTGAGGTGGGAGGATCACCTGAAGCCAGGAGGCAGAGGTTCCAGTGACCTGAGATCGCACCACTGTACTCCAGCCTGGGAAACAGAGTTAGACCCTATCTCAAAAAAAAAAAACCCAAAAAACAAAAAACAAACAAACAAACAAACAAAAAAACAAAAACTAGAATCCAGGACCCAGAGTCCTAGGTGAGCTCAATCCTCTGGATTGTTCTCTTGATCAGCACCAGACAGCCTCTGCAATGGGCCCCACATAGAGGTGGTGGAAGCCCCCTCCACTCTTCTATTCCCACAAGGTCTCCAGGGGTTGCTTGGCAACCAGCACCCAGCAATAAGTGGCCTCTAGTTGGATCCGTTGCTGTGGAGTTACCAAGTCTCCTCTCACACCTGTGCATGCTCTCGCTCCCTAATAATGAGGCTTCTCTCCTATCCCTACCTCCCCAGTAAGACTTTCTTCTCTGATCCACAATCATTAACTTCTCAGGAAACAAAGGGAGCTCTCAGGGACCTTTGTGGTGAGGGGCTCCAGGCAATAAGGCACTCCCAAGACCCTCATCCCCCAGAGATGACAGAAATTCCTATTGTGGGTGGCCCTGCTCAGCAATGCTCATAACCTCCTCTTCTTGTGTCTGGAATCCCCTAAGAGAGATCAAATAGGCTGGAGGAATTTAACTGAACACTTCATACTGTGCTAGTGAGTCACTAAATGCTGTTCCTACACTGGAACCACAGATGGAAAACTTCAGAAAGCAACCCAGTGGCTGGGCACGGTGGCTCACACCTATAATCCCAGCACTTTGGGAGGCCGAGGCGGGCAGATCATGAGGTCAGGAGAACAAGACCACCCTGGCTAACACGGTGAAACCCCGTCTCTACTAAAAATACAAAAAAAAAAAATTAGCTGGGCTTGGTGGCTGGGACCTGTAGCCCCAGCTACTCGGGAGACTGAGGCAGGAGAATGGCGTGAACCCAGGAGGCAGAACTTCCAGTCAGCTGAGATCGTGCCACTGCACTCCAGCCTGGGTGACAGAGCGAGACTCCGTCTCAAAAAAAAAAAAAAAAAAAAAAAGAAAGAAAGCAACCCAGTGACCCCTTCCATGTGGACCCAAAGGTAGAGAAAGGAAGGAACCCAATATTTATTGCATTCCCCAGACACAGTATTATGTTATCACATTTAGGCCCCCTCACCACCAGCAAACCTATGAGGCTTTAATAGTTGAAGACATTAACTAGTCATAAAAATGAAGTGATTTATCAAAGCTCACAAAACCAAAAAAAAAAAAATCACAAAACTTTTGTGTACAGAAGTGATATGTATAAACACACATAAATGTTCCCCCTTTCCCTTTACAATGAAAGCAGTCTCCCCCTATCCTTGGGGGATAAGTTCCAAGACCCTCAGTGGATGCCTGAAACCTCAAATAGTACCTAATCCTATACAGTATACACTATGCTTTTTCTTTTTTCTTTTCTTTTTTTTTTTTTTGAGATGGAGTCTCGCTCTGTCGCCTAGGCTGGAGTGCAATGGCGCAATCTTGGCTCACTGAAACCTCTGCCTCCCAGGTTCAAGCAATTCTACTGCATCACCCTCCTGAGTATCTGGGATTACAGGAGCCTGCCACCACGCCCAGCTAATTTTTTGTATTTTTAGTAAAGGTGGGGTTTCACTATGTTGGCCAGGCTAGTCTCGAACTCCTGACCTCATGATCCTCCCACCTCAGCCTCCCAAAGTGCCGGATTACAGGCGTGGGCCACTGCACCCAGACCACACTATGTTTTTTCAATTTCATAACCACGATGGCTACTGAGTGGCTAATGGGCAGATAGCAAATACAGCACGGATATGCTGGATAAAGGGATCATTCACGCCCTGGGCAGGACAGAGCAAGACAGTGCAATATTTCATCATGCTACTCAAAACAGTGTGCAATTTAGGCCAGGCACGGTGGGTCACGCCTGTAATCCCAGAGCTTCGGGAGGCCGAGGTAGGTGGATCACTTGAGGTCAGAAGTTCAAGACAAGCCTGGCCAACATGGTGAAACCCCATCTCTACTAAAAATACAAAAATTAGCCAGGCGTGGTGGTGTACGCCTGTAATCTCAGCTGCTCCAGAAGCAGAAGAATTGCTTGAACCCGGGAGGTGGAGGTTGCAGTGAGCTGAGCTCATGCCATTGCACTCCAGCCTGGGCAACCGAGCGAGACTCTATCTCAAAGAAAAAAAAGCAGTGTGCAATTTAAAATTTATTAGCTTATTTCTAGAATTTTCTGTTTAGTATGTTCAGATCTAGAGGGCCCCAGGTAACTGAAATCTTGGAAAGTGAAACCAAGGATAAGAGGGGACAGCAATTGATCATCAAATTCTGTAAATTCTAGTTCCAAATCTCTCTCTTCATTTCCATCCCTTATGTCATTTTGTCACTCTTAGCGTTATGGACTGAATGTCTATGTCCTCCCAAAATGTGTATGTTGAAGCCCTAGATAGTACCTAATCCTATACAGTATACACTATGCTTTTTTCTTTTTTCTTTTTTTTTTTTTTTTTGAGTTGGAGTGTTGCTCATCCCTCAGTGTGCTTGTATTTGGAGATGAGGCCTCAAAGGAAGTAATCGAAGTTAAATGATGTCATAAGAGTGAGTTCCTGATCCAACAGAATTCATATCATTATAAGAAGAGACACCAAAGAGTTTGCACTATCTCTCCCCCATGCCCATGCACCAAGGAAAGGCCACAAGAACACAGAGTGGGAAGGCAGCCCGAGGGGAGAGCTCTCATCAGACATCAACCCTACTGGCACCTTGATCTTAGACTTCCAGTCTCCAGACTGTGAGAAAATTAATTTCAATTGTATTTTGTTATGGCAGCCAGAGCAGAATAATACACTTAGTTCAGCCCCATATAATTTACCCAAGTCCTTGCTTGCTTGCTTGCTTCCTTTCTTTTATAGCTGGTCACTACTATATTTGTTTATTAATTTTTAGATAGCCTTTATGAGGTATAATTGATACACAAAAAAATTCACTTATTTAATGTATACAATTTGATGAGTTTGGATCCAAAACCCTGGTTTCTTTGCCTCATTTCCATCCACCCTTCAAACTGAAGCCAGGAATTTTTCTAAAATGCAAATCTAACTTGTTTAAACCCTTCTATGGCTCCCCAGTGCCTATGGTGGTGGTCTCCAACTTACATCCCTTTAAGTAAGAAAAATGTAGGTACAGCACACACAGTATATGTGTATTCTTTAGATTATATATCTATATGTCTACTTCTATACACAAGATATTAAAATATATAAAATTAAAATAAACAATATTTAAATGTTTAAAATCTAATGTATTCATGAATAGTCCAGAAAACTTTATTTTTGCTGCATAAAAGCACATACACACACATAAAAACCCTTTGCTAATTTTCCTTCAGCAAAAGCAATGAGATTGACCATGTCATCTATGGCTATACCACCCTGAACGCGCCCGATCTCATCTGATCTCGGAAGCTAAGAGGGGTTGGGCCTGGTTAGTACTTGGATGGGAGATTGACTATGTCGTATCTAATTAGATTATCATTGATTTTACCTCGAAACGTGGCTGACAATGAACTTGTGTTGGGAGTTGGAAAAACACCAGTTCAGCCATTTTCTTTATGCTCACTTGGATTCACTATAATCTTCTAGCATAGTCTTCAATCAGAGGTTTCTTTATAGGACTCTTTAAAAGCCACATATCCATTATGAGGTTTCATTTAGTTAAAACTAGACCATGTAATCAATAAATCCACTTACCCAGGCACAAGAAAACCACAAAAGCTCACAATTGGCTGAACATAAACAAAGAAGTGAGTCAGTCCACTGTCAACCCCTCAGAAGGGCACAATGCCTCCTCCTATCTCAAGATTTTTTGAGTGTAGGCTATCTGACCATCTGATATGGGGGTCAAACAAAGACACTTCTGTCAATCCACATAGTAAATATCAGTAAAAAATATCTTATGTTCAAAGATTAAAAGTAAGCTCTAATAATTTCTTCAGTTCCCTAAGGAATCATCAAGCATGAATCCTCTGACCGATGACAAGAACTTTCTGTTTGCTGTGGAAGATCTCTTTGACCCCCAATCTGCCACCTATAGCCTCTCCAGCAAATTTCTCTCAGCACCCACTCTCTGCTCTTTCACAACCTTGATCCAGTTTTACTGTATTGCTCACCATGCCCCAAATATTCTGTGCTCTCACATCCCCCTGTGCATGGAACTGTAAGGATGATATCAAATAACACAAGTGAAAGCACCTGGCACCTAATAGGTGCTTTTAGTAAATGCATGTTGACTTTCACCTCAAGCTAGTTAAACTAAGTGGTTCTACAATGTTAGCCAGCCACAAAACCACCTGGAAAATTTGTTATAGCACAGATGGTTGTCACTCACCCACCAGAGTTTCTGACTCAATAGTTCTGAGGTGGGCCTGAAAATTTGCATTTCTAACAAATTCCAAGGTGATGCTGATGCCATGGGTCTGGGAATCAGTGAACTAGACGACCCGTATAGCTTCTTCTATTTCTAATGATCTCTGACTCCTCAATGCCTTTAATAGAGAGCAAATGAACAAAATGAACTTTTATCCCTATATAATATTTGACATTATCATGAAGGGAAATATGAACTCTATAATACCTCAGATGCACAGTGTAGAGAAAAGAGCACATACTTTTGAATCAGAAGATCTTGTTGAAATCCCACTTTATAGCAGTGTTGTTGACCTAAGGCAAGTTAACTAATCTCTGAGTTTCTTATCCTGCAAAACAGGAGTGTATTAAAGTAGTACCTACTTCATAGTGTTAATTGTGAGATAGTATATGGGAAATAATTTGTAAAAAGAAAAGTACTACATACAGACTGCCCCAATAAGATATATGCATAATGTATTAATGTACATTTAACACGCAGAATAGAAAGATAATAAATAACATACGTTTTGGCTGGGCGTGGTGGCTCACGCCTGTAATCCCAGCACTTTGGGAAACCAACACGGGTGGATCACCTGAGGTCAGGAGTTCAAGATCAGCCTGGTGAACATGGTGAAAACCCATCTTTACTAAAAATACAAAAATTAGCCAGGCGTGGTGGCACACGCCTATAATTGAAGCTACTTGGGGGGCTGAAGCAACAGAATCGATTGAACCCAAGAGGTGGAAATTGCAGTGAGCCAAGATAGTGCCACTGCACTCCAGCTCAGGTGACAGAGTGAGACTCTGTCTCGAAAAAAATAAAATAAAATAATAATAATACATGTTTTAAATACTTTAAATCACAAATTTTCAAAATTTCCAATCCAGGTACTAATTCATTTTTGAAAACTATATGATCTACATGTTGCTATATCATCTAAAATATGTGCATAATTTATTAGTACTATTGGCAGATACTAATAATAATAGTAGCTGTGGCAGCCAGCTTCCAAGATGGTCCCCAGTGATACTTTCCTCCCAATATCCACACTTTTGTGTAGTTTCCTCCCATGCTGAATCAGTGACCAACAGAACGCTGTAAGGCTAAGGCTAACTCATAAGAGACATTGCCACTTCCTCTGGCCTTTTACATCTCTCACTCTGGGAAAAGCCAGCTGCTATGCAAATAAAGACACTTCAGCAGCTCTGTGAAGACACTCTAAGAGGCCAAATGGGAACGAAGTAAGGCCTTCTGCCAACAGCTAGCACCAGACATGTGAGTGTGCAGTCTTAAGATCCTCCAGCCCCAGGCTAAGCGCGGTGGCTCACACCTGTAATCCCAGCACTTTGGGAGGCCGAGGTGGGCGGATCACAAGGTCAGGAGTTCGAGACCAGCCTGGCCAACATGGTGAAACACCATCTCTACTAAAAATACAAAAATTAACTGGGCATGGTGGCGGGCACCTGTAGTCCCAGCTACTCGGGAGGCTGAGGCAGGAGAATCGCTTGAACCCGGGAGGCGGAAGTTGCAGTGAGCTGAGATCATGTCACTGCACTCCAACCTGGGCAACAGGACAAGACTCCGTCTTAAAAAAAAAAAAAAGATCCTCCAGCTCCAGTGTATGTTTCAGATGACTGCAAGCCAAGCCAACATCTGGCTACACCTCATGAGAGGCCCCAACCACTCCCAAATGTTTGATCCACAGAAACTATGAGATAATGAATTATTATTGTTGTTTGACACTACCAATTTATTTATTTATTTATTTATTTATTTATTTGAGATGGAGTCTCGCTCCGTTGCACAGGCTGGAGTGCAGTGGCATGATCATGGCTCACTGCAGCCTCGACCTCCTGGGCTCAAGCAATCCTTCCACCTCAGCCTCCCAAGTAATGGGGACTACAGGAGCCCACCACCATGCCCAGCTAATTTGTTTTATTTTTTTGAGAGATGAGGTCTCACAATGTTGCCCAGTCTGGCACTATGAACTTATGAAGTGATTTGTTATACGACAGTAGATAACTGATACCTTAGCTAACATTTAGTGTGCATTTACTATGTTCCAGGAACTAAGCCAAGGACCTAAGGACCCAACAGCCTTATGATGTAGATGCTATTACAATCCCCAAAGGAGAAAGGGTGCCCCAGAGAAGTTAAGCAATTCAGTCAAGTTCCATGACTAGTAAGTGGTAGAAGCAGAATTTGAACCCAAGTCTCTAACTCCAAGCCCCAGTTTCTTGGTCACTCATTTAGACAAGCCAACATAAAACCTCCTGGATAGTTAAACAGCAGAAGCAACTGAACCCCTGGAGGAGAGCAAACTTGTATAAAACTAGCAGAGGGTAGCCCAGGGGCCACACCTGAAACAGCATTAATGCCTGATGCTGTAAGGCCCAGAAGTTCCAAGCTGGCCCCACCTCTAAGCCCTTGTACTGGCAGGCCAGCCGCTTCTCAGGAAAATCCTGCCCAAGATTCCCGGGACTCACCCAGATCTGCAGTTTCACCCGCTTCTCGTGACGGTAGACTGTCTTCACCTTGAAGTCGATGCCCACGGTGCTAACGAAGGCTGGGGTGAACGTGTCATCAGCATAGCGGAAGAGGAAGGAGGTCTTGCCAACACTGCTGTTGCCAATGATAAGCAGTTTAAACATGTAGTCAAAATTCTGGTCAGAGGCATCTTTGACTCCAGTTTTACCATCTGTCACTGAAGCCATCTGCAAGAGAGACCTAGAGTCACTCAGGAACAGACCTTCGGTGTCACCCTGAGTCACCATCCTTCTAATGGTCACCCCACCATTCACACACTCACTCCTTACTCCAGCACCACTGAGGAAATGCACACTACTCAGAATCACCCCATCACTACACCTGCCCCAAATGTTGTCTCAGCACTGAGGTGGAACCCAGCTCCTCCCATTCATTCCTTCAGCAAATATTTACTGAGCACATTGATCTGGGGCAAGCCCTGTGCTGGGCATGGGGCTTACAAACATGAGTCAGACATGGTGCCTGACCTCTAGGTGGACAAAAACTAGAATAAAAGGTGGGTCAACACAGAGTAACAAAGCAGTAGATAAGTGATAAGACAGAGGAGTCCTGGCTGAGGAAGTCCATGAGAAGCATCTCATTCAGCCTGGAGGCCCGGTGATCAAGGAGAGGCTCCTGGAGGAAGCAGCTCCTGAGCTATTTTGGGGAAAGAAAAAAAAAGCCAAGAACAGCAAACACATGCACATCCAAGGAAAGACTCAGTAAAGGGCTATCATTCTCTTGCTTCAAAAACTATTATGACTCAGGAGGCTGAGGTGGGAGGATCACTTGAGCCCAGGAGTTCGACGCTGCAGGGAGCCATGATCATGCCACTGAATGCCAGCCTGGGTAGCAGAGCAAGACCTCATCTCTAAAAAATAAAATAAATAAAACATAGAAACTTTCATGGCTTTCCACAGCTCTAAAGATCAAGTCCAAACTGTTCAATTTGACAAATAACCAACTAACCAAAGAGGCAATTCTCTAAACTTTATCTTCCCATACCCCTTCTCTTCACCAACCTGTGCTTCCCTTAGATCTAATTACACACTTTATGCCAAATAAGCCACATTATTCCTTGCCTTTGTCCCTTACATGTATTCCTTCTGCCTAGAATTCTCTTTTCCTCCTAAAAGACTCCTACCCAT